>NC_000001.11:243456848-243608364 GCF_000001405.40 Homo sapiens
AATCTTTTGGTAGATGCTATATCTTTAATAAATGTTAAATACAGGCATCACACTTTTAAAGAACATTTGTTTTTAAGGGTCTTTGTGCATTCATCTGAGGAAAAAGCAACCAAATCTGTTTTATTCAAATTCCAAATTCTAGGGGAGCAGATTGTCACAGAATATACAGTGATGAACTTCCAAAAAGGAAAATGGGCGGAAGACTCGTAGGTATTTATCACGCATGCTAGAAACATTAATGCTTTCTGAGGAATCAACAGATCTTTGATTCTCTTTTGGTTGAGTGCACCTTATTTTGTAAAAAAATAATTTATTGATTATTTCATATTTTTTTCTTTAAGGAAAAATCTTATAAATATTCATATTCAGAATAGCATGTGTCTATTCTGTTGATCCTGAAGCCATAAAAGAAGTTTCATTCTCAGTGTCATGTCAACAATGAAAATTATCACAAAACCAAAAATAATTCATGTAAATGTCCGCATTGTTTAATCATCGGTTTTAGATCCAAAGCATCATTCTTTCTGTTTAAAGTGGTCATTCAGAACCGAATATTTTAAATGACTTATAGGAGCCCTGTAGAAAATGTACAGAAAGAATTCACCGTTTAAGTAAAAATATATTTGCTTTGCTTGGCCTGTCAGTTTCCATATTTGCAGTGGCTTCCCATTATTGACTAGCATCATGCATTGAGGATTAGGTTGTCAAATGCGGTGTATTTACTTTTGAACTTCTCTGCTGGTAACAGTCGGTGCATACGTGACATTTGTAATGCTGATGGTTGATTTCAAAGTATAGTATCTAAGTCCAATTTTTCATGCATTTTATGAAGCTTTTGTCCTTAACACTTTGATTTAAGTCGCTCAAAATTCATTCTTAAAAGAGAGATCATTTCGATGTTTACATAATTGCAACCTCAAGCGTACTTTGCAAATTTCAGCTGGCACTCTCCAATCCCTCTGTTAAGTGGTTATCAAGGGTGGTTATTACCATTTACAATATGAGGAAACCAGGAGACAGGGATTTTATTGACTTATACTGTGAGGCAGCATTGCTGCTAGTCTGTTAATATGTGTTTTCGTCTCTTTTCTAAACAGATTTTAAAATTTGGCTATAATATGTTAGGCATCACTCTCTGGCAGAAATATAATTGTCAGGTGTGCTGGTATGGATAGAGGTCCTGCAGAAACCTTCAGGACCCATCCCAAAATGACGAAGACACAAGATACAGTTCTGTCCTCATCTTGACTTTTGTGTGGGTCAGAGTGAGTTACTAATTTTAGAAGTGTTCTCGTGAAGACATCTGACTACTCAGCACACACAATCTTAAGGTCTTTGCTGTAAGAAGCTCAACCATCCTTTAGCCTCCCTGGCCAGGGACCCTGGCCTCTGCTTTTGTGTTTCAAGAATTCTTGGTTCTGGCCCTGTCCTTGATTCCCTAATTTCCACAGTTTGACAGCACCGAATGTTGTGTTAAGCTTCTTGCTACCATGTAAAAATTTCCTGACACCTCTTGCAATAATAATTGTTATTATATAATATATAATTATGTAAGATATAATAAATATATAATAATCGTCATTGTAATTCTCATCACTGTAGTAGCAGCAGCTAACTTTAGAGCGTGCTTGCTATGTACCAGCTCCTCTTCTAAGCACTTACCTTTTAAACCCACTGAATTTTCATAACCACCACATGAAGCGAGTACTAGCAATATCCCCATTTTAACAATGAGGAAACTGAGGCACAGTGAGGTTGAGTAACAGGCTGAAGGTCACACAGCTACTATGTGATAGATGCCAAACGTGAACCTGGGCAGTGTGGCTGCCAATTCTGGGAAGAAGGGATGCTGATTTGAAGAATCTTAGCAATATTTTAGCTCCCATAATAGTAAAAATTTTTAGAAGCGCTTCCTGTGATTCCAGTCAGATATGGCATTGTTTTATATTCCCATTGTCAGTGATCTCTAAACGGCATTCCTGCCACTAAACTGCCACTGTTTTCCTACAAGGGACGTCTGATCAGTTTCTGAATTGAGTCCCAAGATACGTGCCTTAAGCTATTGCATGAATATCTCTATGTGGGAAATTCTTGTGTTCTGATAGATGGAGAAAAATGTGGTGGAGATAGTAAAATATTACCAGTTTCAAATGTGTTTATGTTACCTTAAATTTGAGGCAGACTATGGAGAGTGAGAAGAAAAAGCAGAGGGGCAATAATCTGAAATAAAAGAGTGACAGAAAGGACAATTTGGTAAAGCCTTTCCTTCCCATAATGAAAAAAGTAGTCCCTAGTTATTGACAATTCACTCAGACATTACTGTACTTTACAATAGTCTTTACAATAGTCTTTCAAGGTTTCTTCCAATTTATGATTGAGGAAGTGGAGGCTCGGAGGGAGGAAGTGTGGCCACAGCTGCACAGTCCTAGGAGGGAAAGCTAGAATTTAAATAGGTTTGCCTGACTCGAAAGCTTGTGCTCTCACTGAAAGTTCATAGTATCTTTCTGCCTCTAAAGAGAAGATGGTCCTGTTGAACCTGGAAAATCAGTGGCTAACATGGGGCTTTTCAAGACTCAATAAGGTGGAGGAGGCCAGAGGTTCAGCACGTTCTGCCAGAAACAAGTCACTGAAGAACGGAGGTGTATTACAGAAAGGCTTGGGGGGTGGGGGGTGGAAATAATTGTACCTAAAATGAAAGAAAACACAACCTTTTGGAAGAGTGGGAATGGAAGGTGATACTAAAATATTTAGAAAGCTAATAAGTTTTTGTTTTTTAAGAGACAGGGTTTAACTCTGTTGTGCAGGTTGGAGTGCAGTGGCACAATCATAGCTCGTGGCAGCCTTAACTCCTGTGCTGAAGTGATCCTCCCACGTCAGCCTCTTGAGTAGCTGGGACTACAGGCGTACCAACACCCTCAGCTGATATTTTTATTTTTTCTGGTGATGAGGTCTCACTACATTGCCCAGGCTGGTCTTGAACTCCTGGCCTCAAGTGATCCTCCTGCCCAGGCCTCGAGAAGCTAGTAAGTTTCTAATCAGTTTGCACGTGCTTCTGAGTATGCTAATGCTTTTTTTTATTACCACTCAATGGTAATAAATGGTGACGTGGTAATTCCAAGCTGTTTAGGAAAATTTGTACTACCAAATGTCACTGTCACTCAAGGGATTATTGCATATAGGTCTTATTTTGTTTGTTCTTTTTTAAGGCTTTCTCTGCCTTTCTCCCTTCTGTTACCATGGCAATATTAATGTTATTGATCTGAGTGGAACATGATGTTATTCACCAGTGTGACATACATTAGATTTGTAAAGAATCTATTTATTAGAACAATTTATCAGGTGTTAATAATGCTCATACATTATATTATTTTTTGGTCACCCAATATAGAAGCCTCTATTGAGATAAAGAGGCATGATTTTTTTTTTCACAAAATGGATGATTTCTTATTTTAAACACAAAGTGTGTGTAGCGAGCACTACTTTCTCTAGGAGGATCTCCGGGAGGATTCTGGTGGCATGTTGGTCAGCCTTCCCTGAGGCGACCCGCAGGAATGGAATTGGCGCCAGCAGGGAACAGTCACTCACAGTCCACCCAACTCACAGTGTGACTGATCACCACGCCAGTCATGTCAAAACTGGACATTTCCTGTTCACAGAAAGTTGAAGCAGGTCCATTTTGAAGAACATCTGATTGGACATTTAAAAATGGATAAAGATGATTCAGAGGACCAAAAGCCCAATTTTCCATTTTCACAAGCTATAGGTAGAGCAGCCCTAGCTGACTGGAACAAAGTGTGACTGAAGCATGTTTATTGTGAAGAAAGAGATGGAAATACTGGAGATGGGCATTGACTTAACTCTATTTCGGTAATGTTGTGGCCACACCAATAAGTCCCCAGCTTCCCTCTCCCCTGTGTAGCTTTTTCTCCTTTTTCTGTTTGTTGCACCCCTGACGGCAGCGTGTTCGGCTTGTTCCCTTTCTCAGGTGGTGGAAGTCTGTGGCCTCTTAGCCTGTGCCTCCCAGCACACCTGAAGAAAACCACAATTCCCAGTGAGGCACTGACGCTTGTATCTTATTGCTTAATTATTATACCTATTTAATGCTACTTAGAACATTGTCAGCTGTTGAGAAAAGGTAATTATCACTAGTCAAATGAAAAACACTTTTTTGGCTGCCTTACGGGTACACATTTTACTGGTACCTTGATACATAATGAAGCCTGATAGCAAAACTTTTGCTTGTCTCTTCTTCAAGCCACAGCTGTTTCCCTGCTAAATTCATCCCATCTGTCTTCCCTTCCGTAAAGCTGTAGGCAGTATAGCAGAAGTACAGAAGCAGTTCAGCGCTATTTTGGATAAACATAGCTGAAATTTGAATCTTTGCCATTTGCGATGCACACATTTTGTTTTACTGCTGTAAAGAGAGCTGTCAAAATACAACTACATGGATAATTTACTAAAATGCAGTCAAATGTAAGGTTGATCAAAGGGAGAGTACATTGGGTCACTCTGACTATTCCAGTCTGTGCTCTGAAAGGTGTCACTGACCTCGAGGTCCCCATGAATTCTGTTTGGGGAGAGTAGCATCTGAAGTCTTTGCTTTAATTCCGCAGCATGGTTTTGAGGAGTTACCAGTTCCTTGTAACTGTATCTGTGGCATGACTTTCAGAGTCTTTAAGAGGCTTCAGAAGTCCATTTTCTTCATCTTCAAAAAATTTGCACTGATGAGAGATGTTTTCTCTTTCTTGGCACAGTCAGACAGAGCTGAGCTACATGACCATTCTGCTGAGTTCTGACATTTATTTCATTGGAACCTTTGTTACCACTGAGGCAGTCTGTTTCATTTTCATCCCATTCCTTATTTCTGGACTATTGGTGCGTCTAAATGTACCATGGTACATTTTTAAAACTCAATACTATACAGAGCTTTAGCGTCAAGGGAGGTGTTTTCTTGGATGAATTCCTCTTCTCAATTCTAAGAAGATTCACCTCCACCTGGCCCACAGCCCTCACACACATATTTACTGCTTGTTCCCATGTGCAAAGGTCTTTTCCGAGCCCAAATGGGTCATGACCTCTTCGAGGGGAAGGGCTAATACCTAATATATTTTGGTAGCCACTGTGATCAGAGCTCATAAGAGGTACTTGGACTTCAGGTAAGTGAAACACAACATCTTTGGAATGAGATCTTATCCCATTGGTTCTTTACTCTAAGATTTCACTTTACCTTACCCTCTCTCCACCACTTCTCAACCCTGCATCAGTGTAGCACAGAGGGAATGAAGGGGGCTGCAGGAAAGGTTTGGAGGCCAGGCCGAGGATTGAGCCCACTACTTTCTGCCCTTCCCCATTTGCCAGAACTCAAGTCACCTGGCTCAACCAACTGCAGGAGCTGGGATGCATGATCTAGAAGAGGAGGAACCTGTGGAGTGGTGAGCTCCAGTGTTCTCGTTCCTATCATCCCTGCCTCTAAAAATAACCCTCCATAAACAAATGATAGCAAAAGTCATCTCGTGCATATAAAGACATGACAGAAAGCAATATCTTTTTAGGTAAGGGGCTGTGTGGCTGTGAAGGTAAGGACAGTAACCAGTGAGGTTTCCCTCCTAACACTGTCATACACACATCCTTTTCACAAATGTCATCTTGCTAACAACTATGCAACCTCCTTGGAGTGAAATCTTGGCTGTCTTGTTCTCCACTGTATCCCAACGCCCAGTAAAGAAGACATTGTAGGTGCTCAGAAAATATTTGCTGAGCAAAAATGAATGCATGAATAGTAGAACAAATTTACATTGTATTTTTTTCACATTATCTTAAAACTCCTACCTTTTGTACAGCCAGAAGACACCAGCACCTATGTGTGCACTGCATTTAAACAGCTTTAGCAATATCATAGTGCTGTTGGGTCCCCAGCTGCTGCCAGTGAAATTGTTTACCTAGAAAGTCCCCAAGGCCTTTTCTGCACCAAGATATTTGCCTTCTCTCATCTTTTGGCAAAAAACAAAACAAAACAAAACAAAAAAAAACCCTAGGCTCTTTGGAAGACAAAAAAAGTATATGACTGCCACACATGCAACCAACTCTCTGCTTCCACCAAAGGTGGAAATGGTTTTGTCAGTGGTTCTCTGAAAGCTGTTTATTTTAAAAGATAAATAAATCTTTCCCCTTACCCTGTGACATCTGATCCAGGGCCAATAGGAGCTTTCAAAACACAGTCAAGTCCACTGATGCTGTTCTTAAAAATGCATTCTTTCATTCAACAGCTGCATGTATTGGACACTGTGCTGGATGCTATGGGTACCAGCAGGATTCAGTCCTGACTCTCAAGGAGCTAACATTTTAGTGCAGGAGGCAGACAGTCATAGTGCACTGTGGTAAGAGCCATGGGTAGGGCACAGAAGAAGGAACAGGTAAGCATGAGAAGGCCAAGAGGAGCTCTGTAGAGTGGCAACACTTGATGGCTAGGGAGAGGCAGTGTATGCAGAGGAGAATAAGGCCCTTTCTCTTCTAATATTTTTTTGGATTGCACACTTTAGAAAACAATTTTAGACTTAAGACCCAAAATGAGAAGAAGCACATGACTTCTGGCTGACAGCCCTGACATCCCCAATATGAGGACATGATTCTGTGCCTTGCTGGACCTCCTGACTGCCCAGCCAGCCAGGGCTGCTCCTGTGTCTGTCCAGCCCCAAGACCAGCCTGATGGAAACCGCTTCCTGTAATGCCTAATATAGCACAGTCCACTCACAATATGGGTCTAAAACCAGACTTTTATCTTGGGAGGGAAAAAATAATATATGTAACAAAAATGTAATCCATGGTAATATTACTCATTAAATTCACCATATGATTAGGTTTTTGAGTTTTTAGTAATCCACTGACATCTTCTCCCTGTCTTTGTGATGAGTCCAGAGCCTGCACCTTTGACTCTGTTTGCCTGGGTGGTACTCCGACATCTTCGATAGGGAGGGTAATGAGACCGTTCTGCCAGTAGGGCACATGGCCACATAGACTGTTTAAATCATGAAATCTCTTGGAAATACCCATCCAAGGGATGGATGTGAACTCTCGGTGTTCCCGTGAGAGCCAGCAGGGGTAGGTGCCATTGGCTAGAGAGACGGCTGAAAATAACCCTTCATTCAGAGCCTTGTGTAGAAAGTTGGGTTGCTGTGCTCATGTCCTCTTGACCCAAAATTGTTAACATGGTTGGATGAAATGCTGTTCCTAGAGGGGAACAAAAGTGGCTATCACAATTAACATGGCCCTGTTTGACACCTGATCCTAAAAGTGATTTTTGTAAATTAGAGTTTGAAGCATGTGGTGGCATTGGTGGTGCTTTTTCTGAATGTTGTTCACTTAGGTTTTCCAGTTACACGAATTGTTTTCGGGGAGCTTACACACCTGTTCCCATCCTCTGGGGTGGGCTAGTTGCTATGTTATGAACCTTAACCTTTGCATATACCTCTGTTTTATTCATGGGAGGTCACAACTTGGTAATTCTGTCTAGTATTCAAGCAGATTATTACAAGTGCTTAGAAGACTAATATAGTTAGCATTTGATTTGAAAGGGACAAAGACCAGTTAATAGTTTTCTGTAACTATACTTAATATTTCATCAGGCAAGTAAGGTTGCTGCCACTTAGTTAACTGGGATGCCAAGGAATTGCTAAAAAAAATCAAATTAATACACATTATTACACATATTTACACACATTGAACTATTTCAAACCAGTATTGCTGGAATAAAGACAAAATAATACTGTGTATTTACATAACACCATAACACCTTTCATCAGAAAAATCTCAAGCCTTCGCAGACTAACTAAGCTGCACAACACCGTGTGAGGTGTGTAGGAAGTAAGATAGGACAATAAACAAGAAGTCGATGGAGGGAAAAGGCAGGCAGGCAGGCAAGCATGCTTGCATAGGGTGAGTGAGACTCCTTCCTGCTGGATGACCCACTGGCATTCAAGTCCTGGTCACCCCATCGTGAGGATACCTAGATTGAAAGCTCCAGTACATGTCACAGGTGATTACAGACTTGAGTATTCTTCTGTGTGTTGTTTTTCCATTCTAATGTCTGTATTTTAATTGAATCGACTGGACAAAGATACAGCATTCCACCTCTACTGGACTGTAACAGTGACTCCCAGTGTGATCAATCATTTGATCATTGTTTCACTTTCCCTAGGGCCAACTAAATACAGTTTCCTTTATTTTTCCTTAGCTAGAATTTTTTTACTAAAGTGTGACAGTTTATTCTCTAGAAATGCCTAGAGATGGCTGGGTACATGCTAGTCCATGGAAAAGGCATGGGTGAGTCATGGTCTCTTTTGGGAGGGTCGGGGCTGGTGGGAACAAATTCCTGCCCAAGCCTGCTTCAGTGGCTGCCATGCCCAACACCTCCCATGATAGGCCTGGCCTGGCACTGTGAGCAGAGAGAGCTGACCAGGCCTTCTGTGGAGCATCTGAGACAGGCCTGGAGCTGGAGGCAGTAGCGAGCCAGGAGAACCAGCGTGAAGAACACAGGAACAGCAACAGGCCAATGGGAGTCGTGAATTTGGCTTTTCGAATTTTGGAAGAGCATACATTAACATCTTTAAATCAATTTTGAATGTACTATGTTCTATTGGATATTCAAAAAGTTTAGTCCTGAAACTTAGTACTCATTCAGTTATCCCATGCAAAGGATTTATTCACCTCATCCTTTGAGAAAAAAGAATTTTCTGTATGTTAGTCTTTCACACAGCCTCTGTTTCGGCTTAACCTTTCAGATTTTCAGATAATTTAGGTGTCACAGATACCCATGATAGGATCGTTTTTCAGACACTATAATTTAAATGTCTCTGAAATGTAATAAACAGAGCTTTGTCTGGGTTTTGGAAATGATGTTTTCTTCCCAAACAGCTGTTCATTTGTATTAACACTTTTTTCTGTCTCTAACAGAAAGGCAGCATTTCTTTTTTATGTATAATCTCATCGGCCTTTTCATCATGTTAACTGTGTCCAGCGTATTGTTGTGGTATTATTTTTAATATCCTGGTGTACCACAGGCAGATGACTAGCATGACCTCAGGGCTTTCTGAAGAGAAGATACCGCTCATTTTTCCATAGCCTATTCTAGGGCAGACTCTCACTCTCTATCTTAGTGGGGCTGGCTAATTTCATTACCTATTCAATTCATCTGAGACCATTTTGGTAAAAGCGTTGAAATAGCAATGCGCTATGAGCTAGTCTTTGCTCCTGTATTCAACTGGCAAAGCAAAGGACTTTGGTTTTCATTTTGGGGGCCCCAGTTAACACCCAAAGGATGGCAATTTATGAGGCCCTGATGAAGATGGTGAGAACTGGCATTTGATATATATCAATATTTGATTTATTTGATATATGTGATCTTCTAACAACCTTGTGATGTATATAGGAGAAGTATTGTTAAAATTAAATTTTACTTTGAAGGAATTCAGGCCTAGAGAGGCTAAATGTCACAGATTCCCATGGCTGGTAGGCTGGGCCTCATACCCTTTCCTACTTAATGCCTCTGAGATTCACTAGAGAGAAGAGTAGTTAACAGTGCAGGTTCTGAACTCAGACAGTTTAAGTTCAAATCCTGTCTCTACTATTTCTGTGCTATGCGATTTTAGGGCAAGCTACTTAACATGGGAGTAAACTTCTTCATCTGTAAAATTATGACAGTCGTGCTACCTGTGTCACAGTCTTCTCTCAAGGATTGAATGAGTTATTACACAGAAATGTTAAGAACAGTGCAGGGCACATAGTAAGTACTCAACAAACATTAGCTAGGTGAATTGTTTAAAGTGTCCAGCACAGGAAGCAGCCTGTAATAGGAAATGAGCCTGTATTATGCCTGGGAGGTGATGTTACACAGGTCCTATCGAGAGTAGACAAGCTGACTAAGGAAGGTGCTCAAGTCCAGCAGGGAAAGTTCATTCTGCCCGTACTGTTACCAAAGTTAGAATATGACAATACTTCTGTTTTTGCGGTACAACCCGGGACTATTGCAGCCTATTAAATTAATGAGAGGCAGATAATTGACAGTGTCTCCCACTGGGGAACCAGGTCTCACTCTGGGTGGAGCAGTTAATATGCAGGTCTCCACTCTGGAGGGATAGGAGTGCTGCTTCCTCATGCTGCATTCCAGAATCCTTTCTAGATGCCTTCAAGATTTATACCCTTAAAGTTGGAAACCTGGGGGGCACCTTGTGCCCAAACAGCGCTAAATTCCAGGTAACACATCTCCATTCACAACCTATTGTGCGTAGACCCTCCTGGACACTGCTATTGACCGTTGACTGATTATGTGATCAAAGATTGATGAATCTGGAAGCACTGGAGGGATAGCAAAGGCTTTCATTTTTTTGTTTGTCTTTTTAAATCCTGTTCCATGTTCCACTTTGAACTGGATTGAAGTCAGCAGTGAAATCAGGAGTGTGGAAGCTGTGGTACCAGAGGAGAGAACCAGTGAGAGAGACTTGGCTTATAGCAATCAGTCCAGCTCCAGTCAGATAAAGGAGACACCAGTGAGGGAGTGAACAGAATGGTAGAGAACAACCCAGCTGAGATTCCAGCATCCTTTTCTTCTATCATCAGATACAAGAGGAGAGTTCACAAGAGAAGCCCAGTGGCTTTATTCGGAGAGAGTTGTCTGGTTAAGCACATATGTGCACCGCAAATCCACATTTGAGATCCACCCGTTTACATTTCTTCATATCAGCATCTGATCAGGAACCTCCAAATGTTCTAGCATCCTTTGCAAATAATTTTGATTTGGAAGGCTTCTCTGGATAGTTCATTTTTACTGAAAGACTATTCTCTTGATAAGAAATTTCTGACAATTTTAGTTATGTTAAATCAGATTCCACATATATAATGACAGCTTTGTTGGTGTGTATTTGTGTGTGAAGCATTGAAACGCATGTCACGTCCTGCCATCTTATAAAGAACACTGCCTTAATTTTTAACTATGCTGTAGGGAGCACCCAGTGTTCATACACATGTATGAGTGTATGTCAACATACATAGGATGATTGAACCATGAACTCTGTAAAGTTTGGTAGCATACACAGAAATTTGGTAAGGACAAGGATTTTTGTGCTACAAAACTTCCTTATCAAATGCCCAGTAGCTCTACGTGAGTTCCACCCAAGGACCTTGTTGTATGGACAAAAGGGCACAGGATTTTCCAGCCGTTGCTGCAATAATAGGTTTAGAAGACAGACCTGGGATTGTGTTCCAGCTTTACCACTTACTACCCCTGTGAACTTAGGCAAGATATTGTAGCATCTCTTAGCCTCAGTTTCCCTGTCCATAAAATGAGGATCATAATATTATCAATAATACCTTCTTCAAAGGTTTTTTTTTTTTTTTGAGACGGAGTCAGCTGTGTCACCCAGGCTGAAGTGCAGTGGCATGATCTTGGCTCACTGCAACCTCCGCCTCCCGGGTTCAAGCAATTCTCTTGTCTCAGTGTCCCGAGTAGCTGGGACTACAGACGTCCACCATCATGCCTGGCTAATTTTTGTATTTTTAGTAGAGATGGGGTTTCACCATATTGGTCAGGCTGGTCTCGAACTCCTGACCTCAGGTGATCCACCCGCCTCAGCCTCCCAAAGTCCTGGGATTACAGGCATGAGCCACCGTACCTGGCCTGATGTTAAGATTTTAAAATGCGGCCAGGTGCAATGGCTCATACCTGTAAACTCGGTGCTTTGGGAGACCAAGGTGGGAGGATCACTTGAGCCCAGGAGTTTGAGGCTGCAGTGAGCTGTGATCATGCCAGTGCACTCCAGCCTGCATGACAGAGGAAGACCCTGTCTCTAAAAGAATTAATTAATAAAAATAAAATGGCTGACAAAGCATTTAGTACAGTAACTGCACATAGAAAGAGCTCAATACATATTGTTTATTGCTTTTGCTATTTTTATTATTGAATCACAATTACCTCATTCATTAGATAGAAGAAATACTTCCTACATAACAGAGCTGGGTTTCAGAGTTGACTGAGCTAACGTATGTGAAAAGTACTTCGTATATGCTCTGAAGCACCCTGTGAAAATAATAATGATTGTATGTTTATTTACTGAGGATCTACTAAGCACCAGTCACTTTATATACTCTCCAATTCTCATAACAATCTTGTGAGAGACATAGTATGATTTTATAGAGCAAATGAAAGGATAGGCTTACAAGGATTTGCTTAGGATCATGCTCAGATTTCGACCCAGATCTATTTTAAATTCAGATTTATCCTTCTACAAAGCCACATATCAATGATGATAACCTTGAGAATTGCTAATAATAGTTTCTTGACTTTATTAACGGTCGAATTGGACTCATATTATCTAGTTTAGGCTGATTTGTCATTTTTTTGAGTAGTATAGCATCCATGGCATGCTTTTTTTGTTAAAATGTATGATTTTGATGAAATGCACTTAATACATCCTCACTCACAAACTTGTATATGTAGCTACCTACAAAAGATATTTGTACCACTAAGCCCTTGGCTATGAAGGCAGTTCCAAATAAAAGAACATGTCAGCAGAGTCCTAGGCAATGGCAGTGTGGTTGAAATATACATGCTGTCCTCAAGGTGAATAATTTGAAGGGCATACTTTTTTGAGTGGATAAATTCTGATTTTTATTATAATTTTCAGTGCTTTTTCAGTCACTCCTCATGTTTTTACATTTCAGTTACATGAATTTTCATTCATATTGTGGATTACAAGTAAACTGAATTTACAATTTGATGCCCCTGCCTGCATACTAATGATAACTAGCTTATTGCTCACCAGCTCACAGTGATCTGCTCAGATTGGCATATTGGACCCTGGGCATATTCATGAGGTAATGTATCTGCCTGCGAGTGCATGTGTGCATCTGGAACCTAGCGTATTGTAAGGAGATAGGCATGGCCTTTTCAGTTTGGTCCCTTCCTAGCTACAGGGCTTTGCGAAAGTGTTGGTTTTTTTTTTTTTTTTTTTTTAGTCTTCTAAGCCTCAGTCTCCTCATCTATTAAACTGGAATAATAATACCTATCTCTCAGAGTTTCTTGGCAAGTAAAGGGGTACTTCAGATAACATGCCCCATACTCAAAATATGTAACTCCCCTTTCCACCCTTCTTTGTTACCAAAAAAAAAAAAGTATAGCAACAGTAGAATATTTGCTTTGTTTTTTCACTGGATCATAGTTCCACACACAAGAAAAACCATGTCTGGTTAACAACACAAGGTCTAAACAGATTTACAAGGAGATCAGATGCTTCGCCTTTCACCTGACTGAGATGAAGCCACCAACGAGGCTGTCCCATGTGTGCAGTGCCTTCTGCCCAGATGTGGCGCAAGTGCTCCAGCTGCCCCGACGGGGCTGGGGCCTCAGAATCCCCCTCACTCCGCCTTTTGGGTTTTTGCTCCTAAAGCATCCTGGCCGTCATCACTCACATGTGCTCACCAGGTTTCGTTTCTAGTTCAGAGGAAACCCATACTTTTCACCTGTGTCTTTTGATCCCTGGCCTGATGGAATATTTTTCTAATGCCCCCACTTTTCCCAACTGCTCTAAGTTACAAATGGCCAGATTTCAGTCATTAGGAGAGTAGAATTTTTTTTTCCTTTTCCTTTTTTTTTTTTTCTTTTTTTTGCAGCCTGTCTCACTGGGGGCTGGATTCCAAGGAAGCAGCCCGTGCACTCACAGGCCAGGGGAGCCAGGATTTCAACGGTGTCAACAATCTTTGCTCATCACACCAAAAAAGCCCTGTGTCGGTGCCGACTCATTAGCATACAGCCGTGCTGTGCTTGCTAACAAAGCAGGCTCTGGGTATCTGCTAGTTTCTCAGCTTGTCTGTCTTCCTTGACCGAAAAGAAGAGAAGAAATAGATTCAGGCAAGGGTGCTGTCCCCCTCCTGTGGCAAGACAGCATCACAAGGATTCCCAGAGAGAGCGAGCTTTGAAGTGATTTTAAAGTCACCATCCTTGGGAGAAAGGAGACTGTCCACCCTTTGTTTTTCTCATCTTCTTCTATAGCATCAACAAGCAAAAGAAAAATCGCTATGTTCTCTAGTTAAAAATGATCGAGCCCTGAATACTTCCTGGTCATCTCTTTCATAGTTGTTGTTGTTAGAGTGCATAAGAAGAAATATCTGTATAGGCAGAGGTACACAAGCATGCTCTCCCCTCAGTCTGTCTCTCGATCCCTCTTTTGTTGGGGGATGGAGGGAAGAAGAAACGTACAAGCAGATGTGCTGCTAGATCTACAGGCTTCTGCCAACCATATGGCATCTTAAGGAAAGATGGTTGGAGCGTCTGGATTAGCAGAGTCGGGATGGGAAGCCATGTGTCGTGTTGGTACAGGCAGTTGTTTGAGCTCTCTCTAAATGGCTTCAGGAGATTGTGTAATGGAACAAATGGTCCTGCGAGCCCAGGAACAGCCTTGCCGCTGCTGGAGAGGCAATTGGCCCTCGGGCGGGTACTGCTTCCCTTTTTTCCCCCAGTATTATGTATTCTTCATTTAATGTTCTTCGAACTCTGAGACTTGACTCGGAACTTTTCAACTTATTACGCTCGTGGGTTCTGTCTGCCTCTGTGTCTGCCTGAACTCTACTCTGTCCCTAATCTGGTAATTAATAATGCCCCAGTCCTCTTCTGTGTCCTCTCCCTCGGCCCTCCACGGGGGGTCCAGGCTCAGCAGGCCAGCTTTTCGTGCCTCTTGACAAAGGCCTTTTCGGAGGAGGCTGCCCTGCTATCAGGGGTTGGGGGGTGGAGGGAGGATGATGTATCCACCCATCAGAATTCCCAGAAGCCTCAGGAGATGGAAAATCTTTCATTTCTTAATGAGTTAACTGGGAGTTTTACGTCGTCCTAGGTGTTAAGCACATGAGAAATATGTAGCATCACTATTTTGGACCTCATGTGTGGCATTAAAAAAAATTATTCTAATTTCATACTAGTGAAAGCATTGGACTATTAGGTCACAGGTGCCATTTACTCAGCAATTTGAGACCTCAGGATTCTACTCTCTAATACATAATTTAAATACTGTATGAATATACTGTAAATTGGAGAACTGAAACACTGTGAGGCTGGCAACACATGGGCAGTATTTCAACTGTGGTCAGGTTCTCAGGCCATTCTTATTTTGGGAGGCTGGAGGCGGGAGAAGCAGTGAGACCTCACAACTAGAACAGATCTGGTGAGTTTCTTCTCATAGGAAGGCTCTTTGGACATTTCAGCTGCCTTTTAGGGCAAACAGATCTTGTTTTGTTGATGTTTCAGGGTCATGGCACATGCAGTGCAGTGTCTTTAGCTGCTGATATAGTTAGGTCTGCCTCCTCTCTGGGGTAGATAACAAAGCCTGAGGCTCCAGGTGTGTCATACATTGTGCTTAATGGAAGATAAAATGGCTAGTTGATTCAGTCAAAGAACCTGTCCATTTATCTGACTAAATCATCAAACCAGTTTGAATTAAGTCATCAGCTTGAGTCCCTGAGAGTAGCTGGTCAGTACCTGGTGGGCATTTTTGTTTGTTTGTCTGTTTCTAAGTCCAGGGCTGGAGAAAGAGGTCAGTACCTGGTCTGTGCTGCACACCATGGGGGCAGAGTGCCCTTCCTCCTTTCTCACAGGCAATGACCCCAAAAACGGAAGCAAGTAAGAAATGCAGCATCCAGGTTAAAAATGAATTCACTTATGGTCAGCTGTGTCCAGGCTGAAAATGAGTCACCTATGGTCAACTGTGGGAAATAGGAAGCTGTCATGCCTACTGCAGCTTCCCTCAAAGGTACTTCGAGCAATGAAAATACATTCTAATTTATTTGCTGTGGAACAATGCAAAGGCTTCCTCAAAAAAAGAAATGAAACCTGGAGAATGTGTGACTGAACTCCAGCAGGAGAACAGGACACAAGTCTAGAAATCTCAAGTGTCTTCAAACTGTTATTATTTTTATGGATTTGTGACTCCAGCAAACAACTTTTACTATCTTAAACAAGGTCATCTGAAAATCACTTGAAGATTGTTACCAAATTCCTTCATAAATATTTTCTACAAACATAAATGTCCACCAGAAATTTCAGATAAAGTACTATTTCTCCTGTGTCAATTCTTTGTATTTAAAATTTATCTCATATACCTAGGTTTTAAAACACGTTTTTAAATTTTCAGAACTCATTTCATGCTGAACATGTTAAGTGCTAGGATATTCTTACTTTGTCTTCCGAGTTTAGGATCTCTGCGGGGGTGTGGGGGGTGTGTCTGTAGAAAGCATAATTTTGATTGTTATCCACCAATTGGAAGAAATCCCTACTTTAATCTCTTTTACCTTCCAAGTGTACATGGTCCCAAATTTGTCAGTCTTAGAATTTCTTGAAACAATGCAATTAAACTGCAACATATTTCCTAACATTCTTAATTAAGACAGTGACTGAAAAATGTAGATTAACAGAAGTTACTGTTTTTATCAACATATTTTCTCTCTCTTTCCCGCCACCATCACATCCCCCTCCCCCTACCCCTTCTTGCTTTAAATGTCTGATGTCAGTTTCATCCACATGTACATTATGCACATGGCACTGAAGAAACAAAGTAAAAAATTCTCTTTTAATTCTGAGCTGCATGCCCAGCGCCACATGCACTGTCTGTTACATGTCGCTTCTTATGAGGTTCATGCTGGGAAGTTTCTTTTTAAAGGCGAAGTGTTTCTGAAGGAAAGAGTTCAGGTTGGGCAGATTGTGTTAGAAAAATCTCACTGTCTCCGAGTGGAATTAATATACTGATTATTCTGTGCAGGCTCAAACTGGCAGCGTGTGCAAAAGTTCAAGAGTGTCTGGGAATTGAAATATGGAGGAGAAAGCGGGAGAGTGAGCAGAGACAAAGAATTGGAAGTAGGGCTCAGAAGTGAAACTAAACGGTAACTTTGTAAAGAGAGGAAGGGAATTCAAGTCTGAACAACTGTCATGAAGCAGTACTTACTGAAAATATTTTTATGGAATCAGGAAGCTCCATTTTCCATGGCACTTTTTAGGAGGGGTCTTACAAATGAGTTTGGTTATTGGAGGAGAGTTGCCGGCGGGGGGGGGGGGGGGGGCCGGGGGAGTACTTCTTTGAGTTCTCAAGATCCTTGCCAGTTTCAATTAAGTCACATGAGAAGCTTAATCACTAACATAGAAATGTAAACGGGTTGCAGTATTTCTTTGGCCTATTAGCCAAGATTTTTTTTTTCCTGTTTATTAAAATTTGAGTCCTTCATGATCACTGACAAACAATGATTCATTGGTTTACAAATAAGGAATTAAAAGGTAAGAAAAGCAAATGCAATCACGCAGCACCTTTCCCATCGCGGGGAAATCAACCTTTTTACTCATTGCCTCTCAGGGGAAAGAACTTGGGACGTGAGCATGGAGTTAATGAAGCTTTCACCCATCTCCTCCTCTCAACCGTCATCCCGGTTTAATCCTCTCCTTCTGCCAAAGTCCAGAGGCCCTGCGAGCCCCCGTGGAGTCGCCTGAGCCAGATGCTCCGCACCCAGCCTCCCCAAGCCCCGGCCGGCTGCCCTCCAGGTGCGGGCTCCAGGCCCTCTCGCGCGGCTTCGGGACTCGGCCGAGCCCGGGCCTAGTATCCAGAGTCGAAGCAGCCGCCGGGAGGTCTGGGTGGGCAGGGAGGCCGAGAGGACGGTGCACCGCCCGGCAGCGCTGAGACCTGGCCGCCTAGGCCACCCTGCCCGGCGAGGGAGAGGGGTGTCTCCTGCCTGGAGCGCTCCGCGGTGGCCCGAGAGCAGGTGCTGGCGTGCGGGAGGCGCACGTGGAGCCCTGCGGTCTGTTCCACCTGCAGAGGCACAATTGCCCAGCGTGGGGTGGAAGGCAGGCTGGGAGCTCCCGGGACGCGGCGTGGCAGCGCAGGGCTCGGCTAGATGCGCTCCTCCTCGGACTGGTTGAGTAAGGGAGGAGGCTCGTCCTGAACGTGCACAGCCGCTCCTAACTCCGTCAACGGAATTTCACTCAACTCCGAGACTGAAGCATTTTATTGGCAGCATTTAGAATCGGGGAAAAATCTACCTTCTGTTTAGCAGTTGCTCTTTTCTGAAGCAGAAAATTATCTCTAGGGATGACTTAGTAATAGGGTACCCCATTGCCATGTGGGTCAGGGATTGGGGGAATGTCCGGATCCTGCCAATGCACCTCTGTAAAAGGTGGCATTCAGCCTGGGAGGAGAGGAGCTGGCAGGGCAGGCCGCCCCCAGACACGCACAGGCCCAAGCTCTGTCCTGCAGCCCCTCCCGGACACGCACAGGCCCTGAGCCCTGTCCTACAGCCCCTCTCCTGTTGTCATTTGCTATCAGGGCAGTTCTACCGCCGCCACTAAGCTTTGCTTCTCCCAACACAACCAAGAGACGGACATATAGCAGTGAATACTGTCTGGATGGTTTAGCATGTCTGGGGCGGGGGTCTTTCTATTGCCTGCAGGGGTTTCCGAGTCTACCCAGCAGGTGCTCACCAGGAGTGGGGGCTGTGACTGGGACCCATGGCCTGTGGTGTGAGGGGTGAGGGGCCACTGTGTACTGTAACCGGGAGCAGCCTGGAAGAAGGCCCCTGCTCCCCCTTCCCTCCGGCGCCTCTTACTCAGGAAATCTTAATGTGGGAAGGATGTGTATGGGGCTCCATAAGCAACACTGACCCAGTCCTGGGGAGAGACAAACCCCTCGTCCGCTCTCAGATCATCCTCAGAGATCCTCTGGGGCCTCTGAGTTGAATCCCAGGCTCTCCCCTGCTTTCGCGAGGACCCAAGGCTTATGCACACAGAGGGTTTCTGGTTGGAACACCTAAAAGTTGATTGATGACAGAGAGATGGTGCTAAACTGGCATATTGCAAAGCAATCTTGGTATTTGTTCTTTGTCACCTTCCTCAAGGCTCAAGGTGCTTTTTGGGCTAAAATGGGGCATTCTGTGAACGTGTGCTACTTTTGAAAAATAGAGGAAGGGGTGTTGGAAGCCTAGACTGGTTCTCTTGCCACTCCTCAAAAAGCAAAATTTTGCAGCCCAAATATTAAAAATTGACTCCGCGTATTCCTTCTCCCCCACAGTGGCACACAACTGGGCAGGCTCCATCTCGTCTGCTGCTGGAACCCACTAGAAACCAAATGAGCCCTCCAGCAGGCCTAATCACTCTGATCTGTCATGGACCTTCTAGCTGGAAGAGTTATGCCATCATATTATCCCAACACTCATCAGTGTGTGGAGGACCCCCTTTTACTGAATGATTTATTGCTCTTTGCAGAATTCCTTTGGCTGCAGATTTTATTTCTGAGTCACTCTGTTCAGCTCAATTGGTCGCCTTCAGTTACCGTGGCAACCAGCAGATGGGGTTCTTTGACAAGGGTCAGCGGGGAGGCTGCCTTGGTTTGGACAGAAGAGGAGCTAAATAAAAAGCTTTCAGCATTGACGGTTCCGTAGCGGACGGCCAGGAGTTGTTATCAAATTACTTGCATTAAAACCTAATTAAGATGTGTGCCAATAAGTGGGCTGTAGTGATTGAATCTGGTTACTTAGCTGCTGTGGGCCCAATCTTATGCCATCACACCTCTGTGGCTAGTTTGACTATCCCAAGAATGGTCAAATATGAAGGAAATTGAGGAAGACCTCACCACAGTGTGGAACGTGACATACTCTGGGACCACACCAGGAGGGTTTTAGTCTCTGGGAGCACCAGAAAGTCCCCATTCAAACAGAAACTTCCTGAAAACACAGCAGTGTGCCCCCCAAACCCAAGATGGCAACTGAACAGGACCTCCATGCGTCTGATAGTTCCATGTCTTCCGTTAAGACTATTGGTAATTCAGTTGCAAATAGCATTCAACAAAATAAAACTGGCTTGTAATCACTCTGGGTTAAAGAAGTCTAAATAGAGACATGCCAACTAAGTATGAAGGATCTTTTCTGGAGTGGGAAGAAAGGAACATTATTGGGCCAGTCAACAAGATTAGAATCCAATTCAGTAGGTTAGATGAAGCTATTAGATCAATATGAAATTGACTGTAGTTGGTAATATACTGTGGTTCTGTAAGAGAATGCCTTTATCCTTAGGAAATACACACTGTAGCATATAAGATAAAAGGGCAATGGTGCATGCAGCTTACTGTCAACTGGTTCTGTACACACACACACACACACACACACACACACACACAGAGAGAAAGGCAGGAGAGCGTAATCAATCAGATGGGGCAAAATTATTACAGTAGGTGAATTTGAATAAAGGGTATGTTGGTATTCTCTGTAATATTCTTGCAACTTTTTATAAGTTTGACATTATTTCCAAATAAACCCATTTTTAAGGACGGCTTTAGGGTGAGGTAGGGTACAGTGTGCGTGGCAGTGTGGGTTTTCCTGCTGGTGCTTCTGTATGGCCTTGAGCCACATGCAGCATAGATACTACTCTGCAAAGATTCTGATTTTCAACAATTTCCATTCCTCTGTCCCATTTCCTTTGCACAGTGGGGCTATCCTCACCATTAGTCTGTTCTTGCTTGAGACAAAGCTGATTAAGGTAACTCTTACTTCAGGCAGATGGTCTTCTAGGTTCTTCAAAGTCTAAGATTCATAACGTGTCAACTCCTGTTTCATGGTGTCAGGATCCTTTATTCATGCCCAGTCTTCCAAAGGTATTACAAACTCAGCCTTGGTTCGATAGCACTTGTATTTTAAGAAGGTTACAAGGTAGTGATTCAACAGATCTAATTGCCCTAAGATGAAGCTGTGCCTCCTTTTTGGTAGAAGCACTGTTTGAAGAAGTTGGTCTTTGAAGAGCCTCGGTGATATTGTCAGAGGCTTTAGGTTCCTGTCAGAGGCAGCTGTGCTGGAGCTTGAAGAGCTGAAAGTGTCCCCTTGGCCATGGGCCCATTCACTGGGGGCCAGTGTGGCACTGTGGGCTTCCCAACATGGTCTTCCAAGCTTCTGGCCTCTTTTGCATCCTTTGTGCCAACACCAGTCTGTGGATGAGATCAATGTGGCTCAGAGTGTGGTTTCCAGAGTACGGTCCTCAAACTGTTACTGGTCTGGGATGAGGCAAGAACTGAAATTGAGTCAGAAATTTTCAAAACAATCAAACACTGCTTCCTCCTTTTTATTGTACTCCACAAAACCATTAGTCTACAATAGATTGGAAATTTTAAAAGAATTAAAATCAAGTCTGGTTCTCCTCACTGAGCTCATTGGGGAATCCCTGGCCTAGGGATTTCCCTCTTCTCCCGCCCCCAGGCCTCGGAAAATGAACTGGTGTCAGCTGCTGCCCAGAAGGTTACCCAGCGTGTTCTCTCTCTCAGGGTCCTTCCCTTAAATTCTCAAGTTTGACATGGAATAGAAGAATGTCGGGCGTTTCAAAAAAGGATTTTGAGATGCTGCAAAGCTCACTGGATTTAGAGTCAAGAGATGTGGGCTCTAGCGCCAGATTTACTACAGACAGGCTGCCTGACCTTGGGCAAGTCACTTATACTTTCTTGGCTTCACCATAATGGGCTGAACTGAATGTTCTCTAAGGTGCCTCTCAGCCCTAACATAATATGATTCTTTTCATGAGAAGAGCAGGACTTGATCCCCCCATCACTTGGGGGCATCCCCAAGGAGCCCCCTGTTCTTCCTCTGCAGGCAGCCAAGGCTAATTAGGAATCTGAGAGAATGAGCCAGGAAAGGGGCAGTACAGGACATACATTCTCTTCATTGAAGGTGGTACCCCCTCCCCACTGCACGATCCTCAGGAAGAATTCCTTTATTGAAACCATTATTGAATAGGGTAGATTTAGGCACGGGAAATGTAAA
Organism: Homo sapiens; assembly: GCF_000001405.40. Lineage (NCBI taxonomy): Eukaryota > Metazoa > Chordata > Mammalia > Primates > Hominidae > Homo > Homo sapiens. The sequence goes on from NC_000001.11 coordinate 243,478,662, forward strand.
CAGCAAACCAGCCACTAAAAGTGCGTTAATGTCACGCCTGTAATCCCAGCACTTTGGGAAGCTGAGGTGGGCGGATCATGAGATCAAGAGATCGAGACCATCCTGGCCAACGTGGTTAAACCCCAACTCCACTGAAAATAAAAAAAATTAGCTGAGCGTGGTGGTGTGTGCCTGTAGTCCCAGCTACTCGGGAGGCTGAGGCAGGAGAATCATTTGAACCCGGGAGGCGGAGGTTGCAGTGGGCCGAGGTTGTGCCACTGCACTCCAGCCTGGCCACAGAGTGAGACTCTGTCTCAAAAAAAAAAAAAAAAAAAAAGAAAGTGCCTTAATGTTCTGAGCAAGGATAATGGGCTAGAGCGTGTTCCGGAAGCCTCAGCACACTGCTTGTTCTCACTGATAGGACCTCGTTCACGAGATGGAATTATGTAAAATGCCGCAGCAATGGTTAAGTGTTGGAACAAAGTAATACAGCTTTACATTAACATGGTTTATTCACTAGAATTAATGACCTAGAGCAGTAATTGCATTTTCAAAACTTCAGCTTGCTGACTAGGTGTATTGCTATGTAAATAGCTAGCGATATTTGAAGATAGGAACACAGTAAAATCTGTAAAGTAATAGGATTGTAGAAATATGGAGCTGGAGGAGAATGTAGTCATCTTCTAGCCCCGAGGCTGGCAAACTTTAAAAGGTCAGGTAATAAATATTGTAGGCTCCATGGCCATATGTTCTCTGTCGCAGCTACTCGGCCGTTATGGTGCAAAAGCAGCCATAGACAAAACGTGAATGAATGGGCATGGCTGGGTTTCAATGAAAGTTTATTTAGGGGCGCTGCAAGTTGAATTTCATGCAGTGTTCACATATTATACTCCTTTTGATTTTTAAAAATCATTTTAAAATGTAAAAATCACTCTCAATTGGCAGATCATACAGAAACAGGCAGTGGCCTGTAGTCTGAAGTTTGCCGACCTCACTTCTAGTTTTCTCCTCTCATTTCACATGTGAGGAAACTGAGATTCAAAGTGATCACAGGATTTACTTAAGTTCTCATGACTGACGCCAGAGTATTTTAGGAGCAGACTAGGAGAGTTTTCATGTAGACAGTTGGTTGTTTTGATGATGAAAATTGAAGCCACACAAAAATTATTCTCCAGAAGAACTCATTTCGTATGTGTGATTAATACTGTGAATTAGAATGTACCAGTGGTTCTCATGCTTAAGAATTCATCAGAGTCATCCAGGGGCCTTATTAAAACACATGCTGCTGGGCCCCACCCTCAGAGTTGATGGTTCAGGTCTGGAGATCTTATTTTCTCCATTTTACAAATGGAGAACCTGAGGTTGAGAGAGATACTCAGTCTCAGGCTTAAGGTAAAATAGCTAGCTTGTGATGTCCCCCATTTCCAAGTTCAGCACTCATAGGATTAGGATTAGAGCTATAAGTAATCATCAAGCAGAGAGGCAGGGCTGCAGTTTTGTTTAGAGAGATCCTTCTAGTCTAGCTGTTGCGGGGAGTATGGATTCCAGGGGGCCGTGTGGAAGCACACAACTCTATGAGAAGGCTGTGCAGGAACCTGGATGTGAAGTGCTGGCAGCTGGACTTCAAGAGTGAAGGTCATGGAATGGATGGGTGGATGGATGAGTGGGATGGATGGATGGGTGGGATGGATGGATGGATAGGTGGGATGGATGGGTGGGTGGGATGGATGGATGGGTGGATGGATGGATGGATAGGTGGGATGGATGGGTGGGTGGGATGGGTGGATGGGTGGATGGGTGGGATGGATGAATGGGGGATGGATGGATGGATGGATGGATGGATGGATGGGTGGGATGGATGGATGGATAGGTGGGATGGGTGGGATGGATGGATGGATGGGTGGATGGATGGATGGATAGGTGGGATGGATGGGTGGGTGGGATGGATGGGTGGATGGGTGGGATGGATGGATGGATGGGTGGTATGGATGGATGGGTGTGATGGATGGATGGATGGGTGGGATGGATGGATGGATGGGTGGGATGGATGGATGGGTGGGATGGATGGATGGATGGATGGGTGGGATGGATGAATGGGGGATGGATGGATGGGGGATGGATGGATGGATGGGTGGGATGGATGGATGGGTGGGATGGATGGATGGATGGATGGGTGGGATGGATGGATGGATGGATGGATGGGTGGGGTGGATGGATGGGTGGATGGATGGATGGGTGGGATGGATGGATGGGTGGGTGGGATGGGATGGGATGGGAGAGGTTCAGAAGGCCTAGAGGGCTCATCTGTGGAACCAGGAGACTGAGCTGTGGGGATGGTGACTAGGGGTGGTCCCACCCACTGAGAGGGTCACAGAGAGAGGAGCATTAGAAGGTGACTCCAGTGTGTCAGGTGGTGAGTTTGAGGTGGGCTTGGAAATGCAAGAGAGAGGCCCGAGGCTGAGATCAAGTGCTCAGGATCCTTGGCCTCTCCACTTGGAGTCATGAGTGTAGATTTTAAAAATCATGCAGGCGGAACATTTCCAGTCAGGAGAGCACTGAGCCCAGCCCTGGGTCACACCAGCATTTGAAGGTCTGATGGAGGAGGAAGAGGGACCAAAGGGGAGTGAGAGACCTGTACAGAGTCTAAGAAGGAGAGTGATGAGTCGCACTGTGGGCCTTGCTCTGTGGCCTTGGTGGCTTAGGTAATCCTGGCTCTGCCTTACCTTGTGTGCGCTTGGGCAAATGATCGCTTCTCTGCACCTTGCTTCTCTCATGCATAAAATGCAGATGATAAAGTAACGTGTAGTATTGTTATGAGGATTAAATTAGGGAATGTAAAATGCTTACAATGTTGGGCATTTAGTAAATGCTCAGTAAACATTAGAGGAGGCCACTGGGAGGAGTAGAAAAGTGAGTGCATATTTTACAGTTCATGTATTTGCACCTTTGAAATCCATATGTTGTTTGAAAAATGTTCTTCATTTCCATGAGGAAGACGCCGCTCCCAGGGAAATAGTGAGTCTAAGCACTTTGAGAACACTTATCTAAGAGGAAGGACAATCTTAGCTGTAGTCAGAGTGACCACAGGGAGGAGGCTCTGGTCTGAAAACATTTCAGAACAAAGGATTTTACCACTACCACCAAAACCAAACCCAAAACAAAACCCCAAAACAACAACTAAAACCTTCCACTGTAGTCCGTAGGTAGCTCCCAGGGGGAATTGTCCAGTGAAGCAAAAAACTCTCATTGAAAAACATACACGCATAAGGATATAGGCCCCCTCTGGGGAAGGAAGGGGCTGGCCTGGAGAAGAAATCCATTGGTAGTGGCCCTGTGGAGCTGGTGCTAGGTTCACAAGTGTTCATTTGGTTATTATACCTCATGACTTATGTATACATTGCATATATTTTGTATGTATCACATACAACATAAAAAAATTTAAATCTATGTATTCACTTGCTTTCACAGTATTCATAGCAAATGAGTGTCTGAAGCATAGGACCAGAGCTGGCAGCTTGCACCGCTTCTGTTTTGCATAAGATATTTTCCCCAGCCCACTCAGCTCTATAAAGTTGTTTTGTATTTCACCACTTGCTCCATCTTATCTTGAAGCCTTGCATATTTTTTTAAATGCTGGTTCTGATCATGCTTGCAGGGTGTGGCTCAGAGGATCGCTGTTGGACCAATGGAGATCTGCCTGGGCCCAGCACTCTTATGAGTCCCCTGTGATTTCATCAGCATCTGCCTTTAGAAACCCGGGCGTGTTTGTTCCCATGGTAACTGCTGCCCCTGACACGCCTGAAATTCCTGGGATGCCCTTGCGTGGAAGGGGAGCCCGTGCTGCCCATTCTACCCCTGCATGGGGCAGCTGCTTTTCTCCCTCAGGGTCCCCAGTCCTACCCAGGCAGGGGTGGCAGTTGTTCATCTGCAGATCCTGAAGGACATGGACCCTGTGCCTGAGATTAGGACGGCCGCACCAGCCTGGGTGCAGGCTCCCTCAAGTGTCCTTCCTCATGGACCCGCGGACCCTACGCTGTGCTGTGAGGGCCGGGGAGCACAGGGGCTTCCTGGGAGGAGGACTGGCTTCCTGCCCCTGATGGGGCCTGGCCACAGCTCCCAGGGCTCCATGACAGCACAGTGAAGATAGCAACCACATCCTGGGGGCCCTGGATGCAATCCCTGCCTGTTGCAAAGATGAGATAAAGGCGCGGGAAAGAAGGGTCTGAATTAGGGGTTGAGCTCTGAAATCGGACGATTCTGTGTTTCCTGCCGCATGGAGGGCGTGTGTGGTTCGCAGGCTGTGGGGGGCTTCTTGCAGCGGGGGCTGCTGCCTAAACAGACTCCGCGGGCCCCATGATGGCAAACCCCCTCGCCCCGTTCATGACTTAATGCCTCCTAGAAGAAAAGGCTAAAAACAAGACACACAGAACAAGAAATTGCACTCTCTCAAAACGACAGTCGCCCTGAAACGGACGCTGGAAGAGGTTTCCAGGCCCGTGGCGACGGTGAGGGGGGTGAAGGTCGCAGGTGGAGGGCACGGGGCGGCGGCTGCGGAGCCCGGGGAGGAGGCGGCGGGCGCCCGGGTCTTCCTCGGAGCGCGCCCCCTGGGCTGGGCGGCGTGTCCCTGCCTCCCGCCGGCGCCCTCGTCCCCGCAGCAGCGTCCCCGCCGCCACCCCGCTGCCTCGTCGCCTTTCTCGCAAACAGCGGTGCCCTCTACGTGGGGGATCCTGGAGGCTGCTGAGCACGAGCGCCCTCCGCGACCCGCCCCTGCTCCCGCCTCCACTCTTGCCTCGGGGGGAGGGTCTCAGTCTTCTGCCTAAGGCGCCCTCCTCCCTTGGGAAGTCCGCCGTCCTCTGCCGTGAAGATTGCCCCTCTCTCCTCCAGTGCCTCCTCCCCAGCGGCTTCGGTGGCTCCCACCCTCCGCACCCCGTCTCGCGACCTCCCCGCCAGCCCAGCCCCTCACCAGAAGAGGCTTTCTCTTCCAGCCCCTGAAATCTGGCTTCTGCCCCAGCCAGGAGGCTCCGCAGGGCGCTCCGCCACCAGGTGGCATTTCCCACAAACCGGCCACTCCGCCCTGACCCCTCTCCTCCCTGGACCTCCGTCTCCCAGTTTTCCTCCCTCCAGGATCCCACTCTCAGTGTCTTGCCGGATTCCAGTCCACTGCCAGCCATTGAAGGCGGAGGTTCCTTAACCCCTATCCTGGGGCGAGCCCTTCCCTCTCACTGCAGAAGAGCTTCTCAGCTAGGGGGGTCGTGCGGGCCCGGAGAGCTGCATTTTTAACAAACTCCCCACACTGACAATCTTTGCCAACCCTTCCCAGGCAAATCTTGCCCCCACGTTCATGGTCTCGCCTCCCAGCAGGTTTGGCCCACCCAGCTAGAGCTCCAGCTCGGCCCTTCCTAAGCCCCAAGTTGCATAGCTGCCTGGTGGGTGCGTGTTCCACAGGTACCTCGGACTCGCCCTGACCCCAGAACGTCTCTTCTACGCCAGGCCGATCCCTCCTGCCATCCTCTGTCTGTTAAATGGCACTGCCATTGCCTGCAGGACGAAGTCCATATTTGCTGGTTTGGCTACAGAGTCCAGCGTCGCCTTCCTCTGAGCAGCCTGCAGCCTCTGGTGCAGCCACACTGCACAGCTTGCAGTTTCCAGACACGCATTGGCCTTTGCAGTGCGGCCCCGAAGTGGGAAGGCCCCGCCCCTGGCCCTGGCCAGAAAAGCACCCACTCATCCTTTCCCATCCCAGCTTGCCCGCTGAGTGACTTTGAATCAATGATTCATGTTGTCTGTGCCTCAGTTTCCTTAACCTTAAAGTGGCATAATAATTAGTTCCTGCCTCATGGAATTGTGAGTGCTAAATAAACAGTAAGTCTAGTGCCCGACATAAAAGTGCTCAGCATACGACGATCATGAGCCATGTCTAAGCAGGCGCAAGCCCTCCCAGGCTTCTCATCTGCAATATTGGCCATTTCTCTTCATGCCTCAGTGTCCTGTTTGAGTTGAGCATGTTTTTTTTACAAGTGAGTCTCTCCTCCATTGGCCGGGAACCGCCCGAGAGCCGGGAGCATTTGTCATTCTTGATGGACCCCCAGGTCTTAAATCAGTACTTGACCCTTAAGAGGTGTTGGCCGGGCGCGGTGGCTCACGCCTGTAATCCCAGCACTTTGGGAGGCCAAGGCGGGCAGATCACGAGGTCAGGAGTTAGAGACCAGCCTGGCCAACATCGTGAAACCCCATCTCTACTAAAAATACAAAAATTAGACAGGTGTGGTGGTGCGCGCCTATAGTCCCAGCTACCTGGGAGGCTGAGGCAGGAGAATTTCTTGAACCCAGGAGGCAGAGGTTGCAGTGAGCCAAGATTATGCCACTGCACTCCAGCCTGGGCAACAGAGCAAGACTCCATCTCAAAAAAAAAAAAAGAAGAAGAAGCAGAAGAAGAGAGGTGTTTAGCAAGGCTTGGTTCGTTTGGTGAATTAACTCAGTGAGTTAACCACCATTAACGATGGTTAAGGACACTTGGGCGCTGGCTCGATTTGACTCCGAGCTTTACCGATTACTTGTGTGACTTTGTGCAAGTTAATTAACATCTCAGCTTGTTTTCTCATCTGTGAAATGGGGATGATACTAGCATGTACCTCCTAGGACTATAGTGAACTTTTAATTAAGATAATTATTGAATTTAACAGGTAGTTTATTAATGAAATTTACATAGGTAATTGTGGCGCAGTGAGCCCAGGGGCTCAAGGTGTTAGCAGTCATCAACAGTGCTATTTGAAACTGTGGGTGGATGAAGAGGTGAACTCAACACCACAAATATGACAGAGCAGTAACCACCATGGAAAAGAAAAGAGAGCTTATGTGTCTAGGACACCCCAAGAAATCTCTTCTGAATGAATGATGGCAATGAAATAGCCATTAACAGAGGGTAGGCTGGTTTGTGCAGGGTTGGAGGCTTTTCCAAAAATAAATAACTTTCAAAAAATCTCAGCCAGGCGCGGTGGCTCATGCCTGTAATCCCAGCACTTTGGGAGGCTGAGGTGGGTGAATCATGAGGTCAGGAGTTCAAGACAAGCCTGGCCAAGATGGTGAAACCCTGTCTCTACGAAAAATATAAAAATTAGCTGGGCACGGTGGCAGGAGCCTATAATCCCAGCTACGGCAGGAGAATCGCTTGAACCCAGGAGGCGGAGGTTGCAGTGAGCTGACATAGCACCGCTGCACCCTAGCCTGGGCAACAAAGCAAGACTTCGTATCAAGAAAAAAAAAAAAATCAATCTCGGGCCGGGCGTGGTGGCTCACGCCTGTAATCCCAGCACTTTGGGAGGCTGAGGCGAGTGGATCACTTGAGGTCAGGAGTTTGAGACCAGCCTGACCAACATGGAGAAACCCCGTCTCTACTAAAAATACAAAATTAGCCGCCGTTGTGGCACATGCCTGTAATTCCAGCTACTCTACTCGGGAGGCTGAGACAGGAGAATTGTTTGAACCCGGAGGCGGAGGTTGCGGTGAGCCGAGATCGCACCATTGTACTCCAGCCTGGGCAACAAGAGCAAAACTCTGCCTCCAAAAAAAAAAAAAAAAAAAAAAAAAAAATCTCTTTTCCCAATATTTGTAATACTGGGAGTGTTCAAGTTGATTTAAAAATTGAGTCAATTGGAATCCATCCTCAGCTCTTAGCTGTGAAGGGAGAGCTGCCCCTTCTTAGGGATCTCACTTCTCACAGCAGGGGTGCTTCTGTGTGTGGACATCCTGGTCAGCTGGTCCCCTGCTGTCTTGTGGGGCTCACACCCAGGCACTTGATTCAGCGGGGTCTGGGTGGTGTCTCCTTCCTCCTTCCCACCCCAGTAATCGCTATAGCCTTCCCAGGCCCCCAGGTTGCAAAGCACTCTGGACTAAACCTCCTCCAGGTTCTGAGGGCTCCATAGGAGGAAGGTCTAGGCCAGAACCGGCCCCATCGCTGAAGGTGGAGCCAGGGTGGCCGGCCGTGACCGGTGTTTATGCTGTGAGAGCGGCTTTGGCCCTGCCCATTGCCCTGGATGGGCTGCCATCCCTTTTCAGGAGTTCAAAACCACATACTGAGCCCATCGGTCCAAAGGACCATCATCTCATTTGATCCAAGCACAGGGCAAGGGACCACATGGACAATGGCTGCTCGTGGCACCTTCTTGCCATGCAGCCATGTCATGGTGTCACTTGTCACGTTTCCTGGCACCTTCTTGCCATGCAGCAATGTCATGATGTCATTTGTCACGTTTCTGTTCCATTCTTTTCGAGCAAGCAGGAAGCCACGGGGCTACCTCAGTTGCTCTTAGCCAGTAGCTCTCTCCACAGGTAGGCCTTCATCGGAGGGGAAAAGCCACCTTAGGGTTCCAGAGCTCAAGGGCGAATGATGCTTTCCACCCACTAATTTAAATACGGAAGCATCAGATTGTCTGCTTCTCAAGGAAAAGAGCTGTTACCATCTCTGTCTCTTCAATGGGACCCACTCCTGGGCCCCACAGCAGGGCAGGTGCTCAGATGAATGGTGGCCGCCTGCCTGTGTCAGAGGGTCGGCCTAGGCAGGTTCCCCAGTCCGCTGGCCCGGGACGTCCTCCTCTCTCCCGGCCGCTCACTGTTCAGGACAGCCCGGGCCCCCCCCTGGGGCCTTGCAGGAGAGCTTCTGTGATCCACTGGGTGGCTTTGAGGGTAGCTCCCAGGAAAGGCTGCCTCAGCCCCAGCGTGATGGGGACGGGTAGGGGCCGATGAGGCTTCCCAGAGCAGCGATGGCCTTAGGTATTGCCAGAAGGAAACCTACTTTTCCTCCAAGATCAGAGGGAAGGATGAGGTGGGGTGTTGGAGCATCACCATATATATACATCACACACACAGGGAAACACTCCTACTTGGATGGAGGATCTTTGCTGTTCTGTTGAGGCCAGCCTGATCCTGGAGGCAGGGCAGGGCCTGGCTGTTGCCCAGGCTCCAAAGAGGCGCCAGGGCGTCCCTTAGTCCTTACACTTTCTCCAGAACCTGCGGGCAGCAGGAGGCCCTTGTCGGGACAGGCAAGGGGGGCGGTGGTGCGGAATTGTGGGCGTGGCAGTCGGAGGTGCCAAGCCCGGGGAGGCGGGGCTTCCTGGGAGCATGCGTAGTGCCGGCTCTGCCTGGGCGGGGTCCTAGGCTGCTGCTCCCGCCTCCCCCGGCACAGGTAGGGCGCCCCGCAGACCCGGACAACGCTGGGTGTGGCTGAAAACAGGGAGTCATGGTGCGTTCTGGGGAAGGGTCAGGGCTGGGGGCTCGGGCCCCTGGACCAAAGACTCTAGCCAAATCCATCGGAGGCTGAGCAGGGCGATGGGGCAGGGCCGGGGGAGCCGTGGGGAAATGGGAGGGTGTGGGCCGAGCAGCGCCGGAGGCAGGTACCGACCATCGCCGGGTTTCCCAGAGGGCAGTGGTACCTGTGCCCACATGTGCGGCCTTTTTTGTAAAGGAACCTATCCCAACCCGAAGGCCCAAACGTGTGGCCGTGTAAGTTTAGTTGTGCCCGGAGTCCCAGGAGAGCCCGGACTGAGGGCAGCCAGAGGCCGGTGTCCGCAGAACGGCCCACGAGGCCTTCGGCTCAGTAGCCTGGAGTTTGAAATGCACCTTGAGCTTTAATGGCCTTTTCCTTGTGAGAATTCGAGTTAACGTGCCTGCTGGTGCTTTTGATGGGTGAGGACGGTGAGGCAGGCCACACATCTCGCTTCTTTCCAGAACACTTCTGGGTAGTCGTTCAATTCCACATTTAATCCAAAGCCAACAGTTCCATGGGTGACTGTGCTGCTGGCTGTAGGAAGCCGACTGTGGACAGATGAGGATAATGGTCTGAGTGAATTAGCAAGTCTGGAGAGGAGCGCCCATCAGCAGAATGACAAATTTAGGATCTTTAAAGACATCTGGTCAGCGATGCCGGAGCTCGTGATTGACTGAGTGATTAATAATGGAAAACCCTTACTTCAGTGTTTCCACGGCCCTCACCCACTTCCCCAGCCGGGGCGGCCGTCTGCTCAGCCTGCCAGAGACCTTTCCAGCTGAACAATGGCGGCATTTAGGCCCCTCATCTTTGACCTCTGCTTGGGAGTTCAAAGCTTCCTTTTCCTTCTACTTACCCCACTTATCTGCGTGTTTTCTAATTGATAGTGTACTGAGATGGCTCCCAGTTCCCACGCACATTTGCTAGAATGTTACCTTCACACAGTGCGTACCAAGGACCTAGTGCCAGCCAGAGCCTGGCACCTCAGGGTCACCCTAGGCGTCCTGCTCATGGTTCCCTATCAGGGGCTTCCCTCAGATACACACAGCCCCTGGGCCTGTTGAAAGGCTGACGTTATCCCTCTTTAATTCTGCGGTGGATTTTTCTCCAGGCTAAGGCAGCTGGATAAGCACAGCCAGGCCACAGCCCAGCAGCTGGTGCAGCTCCTCAGCAAGCAGAACCAGCTTCTCCTGGAGAGGCAGAGCCTGTCGGAAGAGGTGGACCGGCTGCGGACCCAGGTACTGTGCAGAACGCGGCGCAGGTGGGAGTCCTTGGGCGGGCGTCTACAGGTGGATCTTTTATGCACCTCAACAGGCCGGCTTTCTCACGGATCACATCGGTTAGCAGTAAGCTGGGAGGGAGGTCCCGAAGACTGTGCTGGGCACAGTGCAGGACCCAGAGAAGCGGAGCCATGGGCCCGTCCTGGTGAGGGAGTTAAAGTCCGTGCAGGTGAACAGACCCCGGCCCGCGAATCAACGAACCACACCGAGTGCCAAGTTGCGCCGTGCAGGCTGCGGAGGGTGCGAGAGCAGGGAGAAGCGGGAGGACGGCCGTGGGCGGCAGAACAGGCTTTTTGGAGGATGGTGGCCTTGAGCTGCCTCTGAAGGTCGTGTATGGTTTGAATTGGTTGAGGAAAGAGGTGTTCCCAATTAGCAAAGTCGTCTTGAATGGAAGGCAGGCATCTCATCCTAAATTAGCTGACTGATTACTGGGCTAATATCTGGAGTGCTTGCAGAGCACCCGGCAGTGTTACACACAGAACATGCATTAATTCCCTTTACCCTTGAACAAGCAGGCGATGCTGACTTTATTGTCTTCATGGTTTAGATAGGGAAACTAAGGCCCAGACAAGCATTACAGCTGGCAAGTAGGGACACCGCAAACGGAGGCTAAGCCTGACTCCACAGCCCAGGCTTTCCCCATTCAGGTTAGATCCGGGGCCACCAGCAGGGAAAAGGGAGGAAGGAAAGTGTCCCGGTGAATTTGGAACACAGTATGAAACCTCGTTTGCTAAATCGCTTCTCTTCCTGTCAGAGAGGCTGTGCATTTTGCCCCGTCAAGCAGTTTGTTAGGATAATGAGGTGGTCCGTGGGCTGACCAAGGCCTCCGCCTTTAATTAGGATTGCACCCAGGTGCTCTGTGAGTGCCCTGGGGACTTCAGGCAGTAAGTGCTTGGAATGATTAATATGAAAAATGCATCTGGAAATGAAAACGAAGAGGAGTCTCATTCTCCTCACAAAATGACCCTGTGCTCAAGGAACCTGTAAGTACTGACTTTTCCCACTCGGTCCAAAATCCCTCTGCCAAACATGTGTTCACAGACAGTAAATGAGCACACCCAGGCGCCACGGAGCTAAGGCCTGGAGGTGGAAATGCCTCTACTGTCCCCATGCTTCTGAGACTGCTCCCAGGGACTGTGGGGGAGCGGGCCGCTCAAAGTCCGAGCCACAGCCGCACTGCCACAGCTAATCTAGGAGGCGAGGCCTCACCTGGCACGCTCCATGGCAGGGCCCTGGAACCTGAATTTTGCCAAGCTGTTGGGATGATTCTGGACGACACTACATTTTGAAAACCTCTGAAGTGTTTGGAGCTGGAAAGAACAGAGAATTATTCCAGGTTGTGTCACTGTGCTGAATCCCCTGCCCCCGCTTCGGACAAGTAACTTAAGCCTTTTTCCAGCCTCAGTTTCTCCTCTGCACAGTGGGCATGGTGCACGCCTGGCTTCACGGGCTACTGGGAGTGCTGAGTGCAGGCGGGATGCCCCACGGGCCCTTGGGCACACAGGCTGAGGACGTGTGAGGGTGTTTCCTTTCTCCCTCATCTTCAGAGGGTCCTGGGAGAGGTTCAGGGAAGGCAGAGGCCTGCAGAGCAGCAGCTGTGGGACCAGTGCCACTCCCCTCCCCTCTGCTTTCAGGATGACCCCCTCATCCTCCACCAGACCCAGCCCAGAACCCAGCCCTGTGGGCAGGTCCCCAGGGAGGGCCCCAGCAGCACCTGCTTTAGGCCTGGCCAGCCAAAGATCAGGACCACTGGAGCCACTAGGTCTCCTGGCAGGTGACTAGGCTCTTGTCACATAGGAGGGAGGGACCGTGACTCCTGGCATGAGTGAATCTTCAGCCTCTAAAGCCAAGAACTCTGTCAGACCTCAGGTTGTGGGGAGTCTTCCGTGGAAGCTGGAGCACACGGCAGCTTCCTTTGGGCTCTGGACTAGATCAGGAGAACGTGGGCTTTGCCTTTTAACTCCCCATCTGCCTGCTTTACAGCACACTTAGATCTTAACATGGATCACCGATGCTTAGAAGCTTCTTCCAGGGCTTTAAAAATCTGGCTATTGCCAAATGAGTTGCAAAATTTTCACAAAACGCATTAAAAAAACCCCAAACCTCAAAAAATCCTCAGAAAAACTAGCAGGTCTTTCTTTCTTCTTTTGCCTGAAGCAACAGCAATGATTTGCCCATTCCTGTGCTATCTGATACTGGCCCATCTGGCTCATCTCTAAAGCGGCCTTTCAGATTCAAATATTACACTTGGAGTTATTTTAATATGAACATGACAAAAGAAATTTGGTAGAGGGAATGTTGGCTTTCAGTTGCAAATACTAGTGGTCAGAGAGGAGGCAGGGATCCAGGTTTGCAAGCTCTCTGCTGAATATCTAAACCCAGAGCCTGCTTTTTCTGGCTAAGCCTGGCCTTCACCTCTAGGTAGGGGCTGTCAGTGGGCTTCAGCCTCTGCGATGCCTTCTTGTCATGGAATCAGCTTGAGTTGTGAGTTAGGCTTCTGCTGAGCCATGATGTGGGCGAGGCTGCTGTAGGTTCGAGCAGGTATTTTGGATGCGGTGCCGCCTGAGGGCTCCGGAGTGCTCAGCCACCCTCTCTGTTTTCCTGGAGTGGCCTGTGGGTCCAGATCTTGGGCAGCTGAGGGTTAGAGCTGTCCTCATGTCCGGGTTAGAGATGGTTTAACTAAAGGCTTCCGTTTTCTCAGCCTGGATGAGTTAAGCTTAACTTAATTTTGCATGTCAAACTCTAAACATCTCTGTCCACTTAATACCCAGAAGAGAATGGGTCGGGCAATGGTTCCAAAGCAAAGTCCACCCCTTTCCTTCCCTCCCTGTCCTGGGTCCTGAGCCCCGCTGCCCCTGGTGGTGGGGCTCAGGCTGGCCTGTGGCCTCCAACAGGAAGTGTCTAGCCTGTTGGCAGGCTTCATTATTCTAATTGTTTCTGCTTGAATTCTGAAACACTCACAACAACATGGCTGGCAGAGGGAGCCCCTGGTAGTGGTAGCTGCCACATGGATGCTTTTGGCCACGAGAACCCCCATCCTCCCCGCTCCCCGGCGCTGTCTGCGGTGGGCAGGACTCAGGGCACTGGCTCAAGCTCTCGGCTCGTTTCTTGGCTTTTTTTTTTTTTTTTTTTTTTTTGAGACGGAGTCTTGCTCCGTCACCCGGACTGGAGTACAGTGGTGCAATCTCTGCTCACTGCAACCTCCGCCTCCCGGCTTCAAGTGATTCTCCTGCCTCAGGCTCCCAAGTAGCTGGGATTACAGGCACCCACCACCACACCTAGCTAATTTTTTTGTATTTTTAATAGAAACGGGGTTTCGCCATGTTGGCCAGGCTGGTCTTGAACTCCTGACCTCAAATGATCCGCCCACCTTAGCCTCCTAAAGTGCTGGGATTACAGGCGTGAGCCACTGCGCCCAGCTGTTTTTTTTTTTTTTTTTTTTTTTGATGAGTTTTGTTCTTGTCGCCCAGGCTGGAGTACAATGGCATGGTCTTGGCCTACTGCAACCTCTGCCTCCTGGGTTCAAGCAATTCTCCTGCCTCAGCCTCCCAAGTAGCTGGGATTACAGGTGCCTGCCACCACGCCTGGCTAATTTTGTATTTTTAGTAGAGACTGGGTTTCTCCACGTAGGCCAGGCTGGTCTCGAACTCCTGACCTCAGGTGATCTGCCCACCTTGGCCTCCCAAAGTGCTGGCATTACAGGCATGAGCTTTGCCCGGCCTCTTGGCTTGTTCTTAGTTTAGGGTGACTACAAATAATGGCATTATTGATCTCCTGCCTCACCTGGGTTCGGAAACAACTTCAAGAAAATAGCTTTTAAATGTCATGAAATGGCTCTTACTTGTCCTTGTGGAGAAACAGACACTGAAGCACTAGCCCAGCTTTGCCTAGATGCAGTTCCCCACACTCTGTATTCCGGGAGGGTCAGGGCCTCCAGACACACACCCTGGCCTGTCTTTTGTTTGAGACTGGGCTGGGTAGTCGCACTCTCGCCCTCTTGAGAGGCAGGCCCTGGCTGGGGGAGGCTGAAACCTTGGTGGTGGGGGTGGGGGGAGGGGGATTCGGGGTGAGGGTGGTGGGTCTCAGGGGAGTTTGGGCAGGGCCTGACAGCTTGGAGCAGGGTCAGGGGTCTGCGGCCCAGAGCCTGGGGGCTCTAACATCTGGCTAGGAAGGTTGGAGCCAGCTGGTGAGGAAACATGAGTCTTGGGGAGAATGGCATCTGGGACAGGGGAAAACAGAAATTATCTGTCCACTTAGAGGATGGTCTCAACCATCAAGATGATTTTCTGTGTCTGCTTTCTTATTTGGTAATGAATACGGTTTTGGCTGACTTGCATTTTCTGGTAGCCGTCGTATCCTGAGCAGGCTGCTTGGTTCTGTCTGCAGTGTTCAATCTGGGGAGTGATTCCCTTTTAGTCCCCTCATATGAATCACTTACAGTTTAGAAAACAGAGTCGGAAACTGACTTGTCAGTGGTTAATCAGTTGGCCCTATGACTTTTAAGCATTCTTGGCAGTGAATTTACTTTCTAATTTGATTTAAACTTGTGCATGGATCCAGCAGCCATATGTGATTATATTCAAGATCATCGACATTATCTCATTATACCAAAGGACTCATAGAAGAGAGCCGAAAACAAGCAGGGGACACAGAGACACAGAAGATGATGAAGGGAGGAAAGGCCCATTGCAACTGGAAGCAAAGGGAGAAGGGAGGTTCTAGAAAAGTGACAGCTCTCAGGGAGCAAGACTCCCTGCCGAGGGAGGCCTGGCTGCAAGGCGGAGCTGCTGCAGGCTGCCCATGTTAGGCCTTGGAGGTGTCACCTAATTTACTGTGGTCCTTCCAGGAGCCCTGGGGGCCTCGCCCAGCTGACTTAGGAGCTACCACAAAGTTAGCTACCTGTAAGACAGATGGCGCTTGAATAGAACAGCAAATACATTGAATAAAATAAATTAAAAAGCCTCCTCCTGAACCAAGATTTTTTGGAAAGAATTCTAAATAGATGAAAACAAACAATTTGATTTCAACCAAATTGTTGTTTTTTTGTTTTTATCCTGATTTTCACCCGAATTGTCAGTCTCAAAAATAAACACTGATACATTCCCAGAAAATATTTTTCAAATAAAAACTGACTCTGTTAAAGTTTGCCCTGATTCTTTCAAAACTGTGTACAAGACACTGTCAACCAAAGTGACTTGCATATTTTTTTAAATAAACTTGAACATATGCAGCTAAAATGTCATTAACTCCCTGCTGCCTGAGTGTTTTTAAAAAATGACACAAGACCCTGGGTGCTGCATGTCTAACATAAGCATCTCGCGACCTTCGGAGAAACTTCCCCAAACACCTCCAACAGCAGACAGTTAAACTTTTTGTTTTTTGACTGAGCGCCCCGTGTATAATTAATATTGAAAAGCGCATAGGGCTTCATTTTAGCCAGACTTGCTCTTCCGTTAACAGTTCACTTTGTCCAAGAGTGAGTACTTTCAGAATAAGAATCATGGGAGAAAAGTCAATTGAATTTTATATTCCTTCAGATACATTCACTCTACTTATTGCTTCCTGAGTCAGACATTACATTTCACAATATAAATTCACAATCAAGATTTTAAAGGGAGCTAAATATTTTAATCCAATTAGACAAGTGAACAAAACACTGAATATTGCATGTAGTGTAGATAAGTGGTTCTTGCCTTTAAAAGACTGTAATTCCGTCACATTACAACCCCAAATGTCAGTGTTGTCTTTATTTTTAACACTTTCAAACATGAGGCAGCCAGAGGCTCCACTCTCTGCTGTTGGTGACACTGTCTGTCCTTTGGGAATTCTTAAAATCTATTTACCATGGAAACATGGTTCATATAAAACACAGACCTGCCTGTGTGTAGAGGAAGTTCTCATGACTCAGGGGACTTGAGAAAGCTGGAAGATGACAAACTCAGACCCCACGGTTGGGAAGGAACCCTTGGGCTTGGGTGCGCCCTGGGGAGGACAGGTGGCACCGCAGAGCCAGGGCCTCCACCCCGGCCTCATGTGTGCTGGGGCCTCCCTGGCCTGTGCGGGGCCGCCTCCCTCTCCCCGCCAAGTCCAGCTCGAGATGCTGTCTTACGGAACGTCCCACTTCATGTCTGCAAGGCGGCCTTCTCTGTGGATACCTTTCCATTCCTCTGGTTTCTGCGGCCCTGTTCCTTTCTCGGAGCCCAGAAGCAGCAAAGCCAAGCCCTGCGGTGGAAGGGAAGGAGGGCTTTGAACTCTGACTGCGGTGTGGAGGCTGTTATCAGGGGCCCAGCCGGGCAGCCAGGAGGGAAGAATGGCCGCTGCCCTGCGATGGCCTTAACCGTGAGCCCCCGCCTGCTTTGCAGCTGGCAGAGCCAGGTTCCTGGAAAGGCCTGACCCGGAGGGGACGAGGCCCCTCAGTGAGAACTTCAGTCGCTGTGCTGGGGACAGCAGGGCCGCAGGGGCCTGAGGGTGGCTGACTGCCCCTCGGCTCTGTAGAGGAGTGCTCCCTTCTGACAGGTGGGCGGTCCTGCTCGAAGGCCGCGTTTCCCCGACGTTCTGCCCAGCATGCTGAGGGCACCTCTCTCCTCAGTGCGTTGGTGGCGAGCCAGAGCTCACGTGGCTTATTTCATCCAGGTTGCCTTCCCAATTTGGCAGCTTAATTCCGTAGATATCAAACTGGCTGCCCCTCATCTGCCAGAGCAAGCAGGAGAGCCTCGCATGGGAGAGTCTGGACTTTGAGGTCAAACTGCCTGGATTCGAATCTCAGCTCTGCGTTGCTTCAGAGACATGTGTTAGCTTTCATGTCACTTGATTTCTGGCAGAGAAAAAGAAAGAACCAGCTTCCCTTTAAAAGGAAGTGCCTCATATTACCCAGAGCCCAGCACAGATGATTATGAAACCAACAGGATTAGTGCTGAGATCATTGTGGGCTTGAAAGGGCCATTTGAGATAAATAACCATTTTGTACAGATAGAAAAATAAGGCCCAGAGAAATGAAGTGAATGGAATTGGGAAGTGGCTGGGCAGGGAAATGAACTTCTTCTCAGGCCACAGGATGTGTGGATGGGGGCAGGTACCCGAGCGGGTGCGGGCGGAGCCGGGCCTGGCTGGAACAGCTGCCGAGCCCTGGCCCCGGTGCCCAGAACACGAGGCGGAGGCGGGAGGCGAGCCACCAAGCGAGGCAGGGGCTGCCCTGGAGCTCTGTCAACTCAGGGCCAGCTTTGAAATGCCCCAGATGGAGGTAGGGGGAGGGGCCTGCCCTCTCCAGTTACAAATGGATGCTTTATTGCCAGACACACAAGGAACAGGACCACGTTTTGACTTGGCCAAACAGAGACAGCGTGCCAGTGAGCAGAGCGGACAGCAGGGGGGGAAGGGGTTGTTACCTTCAGAAGGGTTGGCTAGAGCCACCCACGGAGACAGTGAAGTGCGAAGCCCGGGCAGGTCTCCTGTGAGCAGGGGCGAGGGGTGCCACCATCTCCCCGGGCTGCCACTTCTGGCTGGTTTGGGAACAAAGCAGCAGCAAAGGCTGGCTGGACCCCACAGTGTGGTTGCCTGGGGAACAGTTCAGGTCACCCAGAGCAACTGATTTCTTACACTCAGAACTTAACAAACTTTAGAAATAAATGAGGCAGGGTTTGTGGAGAGATGACTCCGATAGGATTTAAAATGAGAACAAAGAAAATGGGTTAGCAGCTGTGTGCCTGCAGATGGGGGCACGTTTCCACCACCTGTGGACAGCACGGCAGGGGAGCAGTGGCCAGGGCGCCCTGTCGCCCCCCTCTGAGCTGCAGGACAGCCACAGGAGGGCCACAGCAAGGGCCATGATGACAAATGGAAGGGCAGAAGGACGGGAGACACTGGCTGAGGGCTCATGTCCCACTGGCATACGCACGCTCTACTCTCCTGGACGAGACCATGATCACTGTGGTGTTGATGACAGGACTTCCTGGAAATAAGCATCGTGGATATCCCTAATGGCAGACAAGCCAGATGTGGGCAGTAACTAAGGCTTCTGTCTCGGTCAGAGAAATGTGTGTTACCAAAGAGTCAGCAAATGGAGGCGACAAAACGGTGACCTCCTAGGACAAATTATCCAGCCCTCCAGTGCTGACTGAACGCTCACCATGGGTCAGGCACGGCTGTAGGCACGGGTGGGGGGGGGGGCGTTGAGCAGTGAACGGTAAGTTCAACAGTGTGAAAGTGGGGATGGATATGGGGCTTCTCACCTGAACCGCAGGAAATACAAAGCCCATAGAGATGGCCATGGCTGATCTGCCGCAGGAAGGAATCAGGCTGACTTTTGATTGGTTCCTGGTGAGGCCCGTACATCTGTGTCACCCCCATGCAGGCCCACGGAATCAGGAGGTCACCCGTTTCTGGAACAGCTCCGATAGTGATAAATTGCTAGGTGGCCTGGGAGCCCACAGGCATTATGTAGACTCATCATGAGAAATGCCTGTTTCCTGGAGCTTATCAAAAAATTCCGCAACACATTTTACTTTTACTTCAGGTCTTTACGCCTATTCTGTATTGTGTGTACGTGGGTGTGTTCTCTACCCAAAATTCATCACTGCAGCCTTGAATTCTGGGCTACAGCAATTCTCCTACATCAGCCTTTTGAGTCGCTGGGACTACAGGGGTGCGCCACCACACATGGCTAATTTTTACAATTTTTTTTGTAGAGATGAGGTCTCACTATGTTGCCCAGGCTGGTCTCGAACTCCTGGACTCAAGCGATCCTATTGCCCCAGCCTCCCAAAGCACTGGGATTACAGGTGTGAGCCACTGTTGGGTTGTTTTTCTTTTGAAGTGTTATCTGTTGGGATTTATGCTTATCCCTTTTGTATTCAGTCATCCTAGCATTTCTAAAGTTAGGAAGCCACTGTGTCAAGAGCGAGGCCACCAGGCCACCTGCCTTATGTGGCCAATCCATGGAGCAGGGGTGGAGGGCCATTCAAACCAGTCATTTAGCAGGACTGTGCTGGGTCAGTTCGATCACCTGGCCTGGAGGGCACGTCAGCTTGGTGCAAACCCTGCGTTTGACAATCAGATCGTGTTGGTGGCAGTCTCCGTGCTGTCAGTATCCCACTGAGGACAGAAGGGAGTCCCCTCTGCAATGGCAGGGCTCTAGGGCATAGTGCATGGGGTGGACTCCTCATGGGCCACTCAGACAGGGCCTGGAGAACAAAGCATCCCGTGGGCCCAGGAAATTGTCCACCTGGCTCCACGGGCCTGGGAGGGCTGTGTGCATGGGATGGCAGGTTTACGAGGAGGAGTGAGGCCTCCTGCCGGAGCCCCACCTGCATTCAGCCTGAGGCCAGGCCCCCCACCTACTCTAACTACCCTGCTGAGACCACCCCACTACTCACAGACCTGTTCAAGAAAAAGTTGTCCTCAGGGTCTCTCACACACTGGGAAATCTACTTGAAATGTAAACATTACTTTTTCTCATTTTTCATAAAAGGCAACAGGCTGATGTTCATATATTTCTCTTGAATGCGGATTCAGTTTCACTCATTGCCCTGTCTTGGAAATCCCCATGTTAATGATGGCTTAAATTAGGTTGATAGAGTCCTCCCTTGGAGTCCAGCTTGGAAAATCCTCACTGGAGAGGGGCAGGCCCACTTCTCTTTTTGGAAGATGGTTCCTAACTAAAGAAAGAGGGACCAGATTGGGCCCCTGGCCCTGCAGTGCGTCCCAATTTATCTGACGTAGAAACCGGGATTTGGAAAATACCATCCTGGCTTTTCTCTGGACTTCACAATCTAGAGGGCGAGGACTGTGGCCCAGTCACCTTCCCACACAGTGCACAGTAGAAACTCCAGACATGCTTTGTGGAGTGGAAACATTTCCAGTGGCTTCTGACTCTAGTTCCTGATGTGGTTTAAACTAATTTGGGCAGCCATGGCAGCAGAGGCCAGGAACAGTATTCAATACTTTCTGAACTTGTGATTCTCCCCCAACCTGATCTGCATGAAGCTACTTTGGAACATTTGTATCTGCGTAAAACTAAGAGACCTCAGTACACCCAATCCCCTCTTCCAACACATGTGAGGTTTCCATGTGAAAGTACTTTTTCATAGGTTACAATAAATTGCTTGCAGTTACAAATTTGGAGGTGTTTCAGCTTGTATTGTTTCACGAGGAATTTCTTAGGGGCACTTGGCCTACACCCTGTTTTTGTTCTAGAATTACCTGCCGTTAAGGTCAGATAAATTTTCAGTAAACAGATTATGGCACAAATCAATGTGTCCTTTCCCGGACAGAAGAGATGGCTCTCTGGCCATGTCCTAACACCAGACTGTCCTTATTTAAGAGGCAGGCGTGTCTTTTGTCTAGGTTGTCTTCAAATTTAACCCATTAAACCAGTTAACCTTATTTCATATGTGAAGGGCTTTGATGTGGACAAGATGAGGCACAAACTTTTCATATAATTTCCACATTTTTAGCAACAGGTTTTTTTCTCCAACAACAGTTTTCATCATAAAAGGTGACTAAACCAGCAAATGAGAAGACAAATAACATTGAAGAACATGAGCTATTGAAACTTACTTTTTATTATTTTTTCCAGTTACCCAGCATGCCACAATCTGATTGCTGACCTGGATGGAACAGAGTGAAATAAATGATTTACAAAGAGATATTTACATTCATCTGGTTTAGACTTAATATGCCACAACGCACCACGACCTTCCCAGGGTGACACCGCCTCAGCCTGCAGTGGGGCTGGTCCTCATCAACGCGGGCGCTGTCCCCGCACGCAGTCGGGCTGGAGCTGGAGTCTGACTCTAGCTGAGCAGAGCTCCTGGTGTATGTTTTCAGAAATGGCTTGAAGTTATGTGTTTAAATCTGCTCATTCGTATGCTAGGTTATACATATGATTTTCAATAAATGAACTTTTTAAAGACTTGAGTTGTAATGTTTCCTTTTTATCTTGTAGTGATGAACAAAACACACCAAAAAGGCACATATTTTAACTAGGCCAAAGTATATTAAGGACCAAACTTTTTTTCCTGCCATTCATTTTTCTTTTCATGATCTATATATCAATCATCCTTCACCTTTAATCAATGTCCCATCAGACTCCATTTTATTTATTTATCGTCCTACTTTGTGCACAATCAATCAATCAGGAGACACCAGGAAGCACTATGCATTACTCTTTCCATTCTGTTAAACAACGAAAACAGACAAAAAAGCATCTTTGGCTCGGTGGTGTCAGATTTTTTTCTTCAATACGCAGTATTTGAGAGGAGCCTAAAAACGTACTTAGTGAAATTAGAAAATTTACTTAGAGTATATCAAATATCTGTACACAGATAATTATTTGTCTAAAATAGTATTTCTACTATACACAATTAAGCCCTCAAATGCTTTAAAGTAATAAAAACGGACACTGGACATACCGTGTTGTATCTGAGAATGACAAACACTAAAGGCAAGGCTGCAGTTAGTTAGGACAGGTCCCTGACCTTCGGCTGCCCTGCCTGGCCAGCGAGCCATCATCCTCATCACCATCTCAACACAGAGCTGATGTCACCATATGCTCAGCCTTGCCTCTCAGAAGTGATGTGGATTAGGCTTTGGAGGCGGTGGCATGATCTACACACAGAGACCATTTGAATCTCTTGAGCATGTAAAAGGTTCAAGCCTGAAACAGTAGAACTTCTATTCAGATTCAGAAGTTTTTTATTTCATCAAATGTGCTAGACATAAAGGCTGTCACATAAGATATTTTAATTGTCCTTAATTCTGTTTTAGATATACTGTGAATAAATTATACAATATTCTAAAAATAGCACCTTTAAAGAATTATAGAGGTCACTTTTTTTTAGCCTCCTGGATCTGTCAACCCCAGTGGTTTTGAGAGAAGAGCACATGTGAGAATGCCCTCAAATTTGGCCGTGTGACATACACATACATGCTTGACTCACTCTGGTCCCAAAAGCCATTCCTCTGTCTGGCTTCGTCACAGGAGCAAAGCCAAGTTTCTACAATAGTAGCTTTATGAGGTAAAATCAGAAAAAGGCCCCATCCAGAATGATTCAACGTGAAGTCAGACTGCAGTCCAGCCATCCTACCCATCTACATCACCCACGTCTAAGTTTGTTAATTTGCCATGACATGTTGTTAGAAATACACTCTAAGAAAGGAAATATGCAGAGCAGTACATTATCAGGAAGACGTTAATGAAAAGCTACATTCCTTCAGATTCTGGGTCCAAACCGTGTGTTGTATAGATGATTCGGGTCTGAATGTCCCCAGGGTCTGAGACCTCCTTCATCCCTGGCTTCACAGTACATCCATCCTAAATCCAGTGCTGAGAGGTCAGCGTTTCCCCTCAGAAGCAGCCGTTCATCAAAGTTTGCACAACCGCACTACTGCCATTTCACTGAAGTAAAAATGATCCCCTATGTGTGTGTGTGTGAGCTACAAGGAATTATTTCTATATTTTCCTGTCACATTTTATACAAGGTAGGTTAATACCAGCTGGGGCTATTAAAAATCATGTTTTCATTAAAGAAGATTTAATTTGGGGGGATTATAGAACCACATCCAACAACAATAAACAGAGAAGTAGCAGATTGACATAGTGCTTTATTTAAGCTGTCTGTACGAAGGAAAATCATGTTCATCCCTATCATATACGTGTAAAAATACTAAGGATGTACAGTGTACAAAAACAGTTTCTCCTAGTTATTCCACATCCTTGTGGGTCATATACTTCAGGAAATAGACAGGTTTAGTATGACCAACAGTAATAGTAATACAGTTTCTTGGGTTTATAGTTGCATCTGCTTAAAATCCTTAACCAGATGACTAGATCTTGCGCAGATCTAATGAAAGAACTAGCAAGGTCAAGAAATGTCACAAACTATAAAGCTACAGGGAGGTAATTCAATTACCAATTTAGAGGTTTTCTTTTTATTTAAATAAATACTTTACATTTCATGCTTGCCTGTAATGCACTACCAGGAGCAAGATAAGGAAATTCTACTGTAGACAGTACAAACAGTAGCAGCAAAGTGTGTATGTTGAGGTGTAATAGAGAGACCCTGCAGTTAGTAAGGAAGGCCCTTACTTTTGTACTCTAGGAGAAGCAAGTGGCCCCTGCAAGAACAGTCAGCTTTAAGAAGCTGGAAATCAGGGATGGGAAATGGAAAACAATACTTGAATAATGCTATGTAATTAGTGTAGAAAGCAAAGCTGAGCGCGACCCTGCCAACCATCTAAGCAGAAATGGCCAATTTCCTCCAAGATGGCTGCATTATGACAAGAAGTCAAGCTTCATGACAGTTAGTATGGGCTGGAGTCTGCAAAGTCTGAACTGTATTCTCATAGAATGATTCCAGGTTTCAGGGTGTTCCACCTGCCAGAACCCAAAACTACAACTATGGGCGACACAAGGGAAGTTTTAGAAATCTCCCTCTACACGCATTTCTGGTTTTCTATTATTCCTCCATGGCAGCTGACAGATCTGGAAGTGAAAATAGGGGATTCTCAAAATCAAAGCCAAGAAGACACCTTGTGTGACACCAATGGAGTCTCAGAGGGTGGAATAGAAGTGACTGAGCCCCAGGCATGGCTGGGAACTGAGAGCCAGTGTGAGGAGTGGCCCGCCTGGGGCAATGTCAGTGCCAGTCATTAATCTTTAAGAAGTGTCCTTGGCCAAGGTCATGGGAATCACTTTAAGATTTGCGGGAGAAAAAACCAAAACAACAAAAAGCTGTGTGCTTAGTGTTCGGTGTCATGCTTTCCCTCTAGAGGAGTAAGTGCTCTGAACATCAGCCAGTCTCAGCTTTCTGCTCTTCCTCTCACCTGTTTCTTTCTTATATAATGGATGCAAGACAACTTAAAGAACATACCTTCTAGTCTACTTTTTTGTCAAAATGAAACATTCAACATAATTCCAAGTGAAAAAAAAAAGATTAGCTATGTGTGTAAGTAAGAATGAACTACCATTTACTGTAACTTCCTACTCAATACTAAGGATGAACTTCACTCAGGTAGAAATATGAAAAAGAAGGATAACGTTGATGTCTGAATATGTCTTAGCTGCCTTAGTAAAATGCCCTTTAACCCCCGTCAGTCCCAGTGGCCCACCCACTGCCAGCAGTGGTTTCATAGCTATAAATCCACACTTCCAGCGTCAAGAGGCTAAGACATCTGCATATGAATATGATTCATCCTACTTAGAAAGTCACTTGCTCTTTCATACAATGCAATCATAATACTACGTCATGCTGTAGTCTTCCGTTTGGGAGCTGTCAGAGTTTAACTAAAATACATTTCCATGATCACTCCGCGGAGTAGGATGGCCTTCTGCTTGCCGCAAGAGTGGCCCCCAGCCCCTAGGACTTCACAGGCTGCTTTGGAAATTGTCAGCTCCTAGCACCAAAGGGTTTAATCTGAAGATCATCATTAATGAAGGAGAAAGATGAGGTTTGCATACATGCCCCCTTTCAGTGAGAAATGTTGGAATCTGGGGGACATGAGTATATACAGAAAAAGAAAAGCTGGAGGTGTTCTCTTTTTTTGTTGTTTTTTCCCTGATGGCTTAATTCAGTGATAAATGTACCATGATCCCAAGAAACACACCAGGTTCTTAGCCTTCACTGCCCATTTCCTAAATACTCAAGATGTGTTCATTTTGCCACGTAAAGATCATTTCTTATCTTCACTCAGGTCTCAATTTTCTTCATTACTTTTTGTTGCCAGGTCATCATAACGTTTCAAATTCTTAAATGAGCAAACGTCAACAGCTATTTGTTTCATTAACCCCTTGGCATGCATAGTTGGGGATTTTCTCATTTTCAGTACCAAGGGGTTAAATGGCAGCATCTCTTCTCCCAAAGCCAAATTCTAACCAATATATTCCATTTCAGAGCCTTATCATTTTTTTTAACAGAGGAGAAAAAGTGCATGATTCTCATCAGCGTGTACAATCCTTGCACATGGGTCAAAAGTAACTGCAGTAAGTCTATTTTATATAAGTTGGAGCTGCGTTTGCTAACATGACATACAATTCTCATCACTAAAAAATAAATACTACTGCAATATAAACAAAATCATAAAAGGACATTCAAAGTTTCAACATCTGAGAAAAAGCTAATTCACGTAGAACTGAAAGTAAAAAATTAAATAAGGCAAACACCTGTTTACCTTGGTGTAGAAATTTTGGTGAAAAGCAGTATCATTATACCTGTCTACATTCTTCAGCCATCAGAGGTGATAAATGTCAAGAAGGAAAAAAGGTTTCCAAGCACAGGGGAAAGATGCTCTCTGGCTCAAATTGTTTCATAAGACCCTTTAAGTGACCTTGACTGTGCATATGCCTTCAGTTCTTGGTAGAACAGTGTTCACTTGCTCATGATTGCCCGTGAAGTCTCGACATCCACATGTGATATGGGCTTCTTCTACAGTATCCACCAGGAATTTAAAAAAAAAAAATTATATATATATATATATATCCCAACAGTTGTTCAGTCCTTCTACCAAATGCTTCCTAATCAATTCCAGCCACAGCTTAGTGATATATGCCTACTTCACGCACGGATCTGATGTGCTTTACATATGCACGCCACCACCCTTCCACAATTGCTTGTTCTGAATTTATAAACTAAATCTTCTTAGTCTAGTTAGTTTTTCTCTTCTAGAAAGTTAAAAAATGTACCTAGAATCAGTGTATCTCATTTAGCCTTCACTGAGGGAAAAACTAAAAGATCAAAAGATGATAATTGGTGCACAAATGAACAATGGTGGGCTCATGACTTCCAAAGGTTGGAAAATTACTTCTTAAAGTTGCTATAATAGTAAGACAGTAGCAGCAACAGCATGAGACCTTAGACTGAGATACAATTTCATGCAAAAACAAAAACTGGAGTGTATTTGCGTGTATGTGTGTTTTCATGAGGGTGAAAGGTGGCGAGGGGTGAGGACCCTTGGCTGGTCTGGGATGTCGGAAGGTGCCCCTGCTATGTGTAAGAGCTAGGACTGGTGATGTCCAGGAATCATTTTCAGTAATAAATTGAAGATGACAGTGAAGTAGCAGAATGAAAGAGACTTATTCTCGTCCACTTGCAGAGTAGGAAAATTGAGGGAAATGCGGCCGCCTCTCATTGTCCATGCAGTCCATACCATCCTCATCATCTGTGGGCAGGAAACATCTATTTTAATTTTACACATTCATTTTTTGCAACATTATCTCTAGTCTATGTTTTTTAAACTCTGAACATAGGAAAGATGAACAGAGGCAATAGCTCCCATAAACTTGTGTTCATCAATAAGCTGTAGAGTAATTATACTTCAAAAATCATCTGATTTTCATAAATACATAGTCTATGAAGAAATAATACTATAGAATCATCTCTAAGACATCAAAATTTCAAGACTCAATGAAACAGTGAAAAAAATGGTATTGAAGAAAACAGAAGTTTTTAAGAAGGAGCAGTCTTCAGTAACCTTTCATTTCATGTAACCACATATATCAAAACTGCAAGTCAGTGAAATCCACAGCATCCAAAGTCTGTATAGAATTCATCATCGAATGTCTTCAAGTGCTTATATTTTTTCTTTGTGATGCTTTAAGTGCAACTGCAAAATAAAGCTTCTTATGAAATTTCATTCAACATCTAGCATCTGGCTTAACTCACCTTTCCCAATTTCCCTATGATAAAACTTTAGCATGAAGGGACTAAGTGAAAGAAAAAGAGGGAAGGATGTCAACATCTGAGTCCTAGCTCATCAGGAAACAATGGAAGAGACTTGAAAGGCATCAAAACAGGCCGCTGACAATCACAGTGTTCCTCCTGTCAGCTTTCCTGGTTTCCTGTATTTCAAAGATCACAGATGATCAGCACCCTGTTCTCATAAATGTCCTGTGATGACAGTCCTGTGCTGTTGGAAGCTCTTCCTGGTATGTGGCCACGTGGTCAGCCACTCAGTCAACATGCGCTCCCACGCATCTGCTCTGGGCTGAGCACCCGTCAGGCCCAAGGACCGCAGAACTTTGAACAAAGTCCCAAGGGCCCCCTGGCCTCACAGTCTCCTGGGGGAGGTGCTCCATTTTAAATCCCCCGTGCTTGCCTCTAAGCTTGTTTAATCATATGCTGTCCTGCAATGGAAATCAGTGAATCTTTCCAATACTCAACCCTTTTCTCTTCAAGCAAAATAATTCGATGTCCTCAAACCCATATAGGAAGTACATTACCAATTTTTTTGAATATTCTAACCTCTCCAGGGAGCATCCGCTGGATGTGGGTGTAAACAAAGAAAGCATACAGGCCAGATCCCACTGCACTGAGGCTCTGACTCTGTCACTCCGAAGAGGAGGGGGCTCTGCCTTTGTCTGAAGAATAAACACTTCCATTCTTGTATCACTGTTTTTCTTTTCTGTATCCCACTCTTAATGCAGAAGATTCTAGAAATGGGATCAAGCTGGCATTAGCCAAAATTTCTGACCCCTAATGTACCAGAAGATATCCTCGTATTAGGTGAGAACTGATCCATCAAGAAGCATTTGTGGCTCCCTGCTCTGTGTAAGACACTGAACTCGGAGGCCCTCTCTTCTTCTGCAAATAGACCACTGTAACTGCAGTCAGCATTTCTAGAAGGTATTGAGATTTGGGGAAATCTCTACCTCCTTATAAAGTTATTGGTTCCAATATTTGTACCAAGCAAGTCACACACATCTTTTAGATCAAATACCTTCAGCAGTATTTTTAGCTACAGTAAAAACGGAAGGAGCTGGGAATGATGGTGTACCCGTGGTTGAGCCCCAGAGTATAAAAACTCTCTAGAGAATACGGGCAGCTAAAACCTTAATGTTCAGATTCTGACATGAGCCAATCACATTTCAAATAAACAATTTTCCTCACCAACAGCTTTATTTTACTCAGTGTTTCTGCACAGCAAACCTGCAGCTGGCTCTGGACAGCAGTGGGGAGCCTGGTGCTTGTCCTGCTCAGCCAGGAAGGGCAGGAGCTGCCTGGACTCCTGGGGCCATGGCCAGGACTCATTCCAGCCCGGCGAGGTTCAGCACCCAGGTTAGCCAGATGCTCAACAGGGGCAGGTGCTAGACACCCTTTTGGAAGAGGAGGGACTCTTGCTGGTGTCAGCTAAGAATTGAGAGACAGCCTTCATTCTGTCACTTCAGTAACACATTCATCACAATTCTGAATCTAGGAAATTTCACAGATATCCCTGAGGGCCCCAATCCTTGATATTCTTTAAAGCCAATGATCTCCCTCCATCATTCCTGCCCCTTTCTGTTGTCAGGCTTGGAAACAATGAGGCGTGAACATCTGATCATGGCCCTAAAAGAGCTGAGAGCCTGGGCAGGGGCTGCGGTGGGAGGGGAGCTGGAGGAAGTGGCAGCTGACTCTGAGTCGGAGCCTGTCAATGTACACAAGTTAGTTCCTGCTGTGAGAGGCTGTGCATAGGGAATAGTGATGATAATGAACATGAACTATGTTTTTCAAAAACACTTATCTGGAAAAAGAAGACAATGATCAACTCTACTTGCTACATCCCTTGAATCCCTGCATCCAAGGAACATCAGTTGCCTGATTTTCTTAGAACATTTAACAAATGGCATTATATGGCAGTAAAAGCGACCAGATCTCAAAGAAACCCTCTTTTTCTGTAAGAGGAAGGAGGAGGACCATCAATGGCGATAACGAAAGATGACACATTCCCAAATCTGTTCCATTATTAACGCCAGTGAGGACAATCTGGCATGTCACTGCAGCTGTTTGTAGAAAATGGAACATTTTGCCTTTCTAACTGCTGATTTGTTCTAAACAATAACTGTATTCTGTTTTATACAAGCAAGGTGGCAAGTGGGAAGACAATTGCTAACGAATGGTACTACCCTGGACTTTTATCAACAAAACCTCTGTGTGTTAGCACTTAGGGAGCTGCAACGGTTTCTTACCAGTTAAACTATTCAAAGCTGCAAGAAAAAGGTTATGTTGAATGTAATCACCGTTCAAGGTTTCAGTGATTCTCATTTTATCTGCTCCTTAAGGGAATCTAGGATGTATCCAGGAACTGTCAAACTAAAAATACTGCCCCGTTGCCCTAGAAGAACCCAGAAGCTGCAGTTAACCACCATCAAGGCTGCTCCCCTAAGACAGGAAGCCCAGGGCCCCATGGCCCCCAGTGCTGAGCGCTGCGCTCTGCTGAGCCACACAGACAGCAGGAGAGGCTGCTGAACAGAGGTGCCTGCAGATGCGTCGATGCTAGTCTTTGCCTGGGCATACTCTGCTGAGCTCTTCCGTCTGACTTTCCTTGCTACAGAGGTCCTGAATAGGGAAAAACACAGCAAGTCCATAGCGCCCTCCCCACCCCTCAATTGCGGTGTGCCCTGTCAGAAACAGATGACATTGCTGGGCTCTCGTTTCCGTACTGTCCAGGGCCCAGGAGCAGGGCAGGACCACACCCCATTTCTGACACCCACAAAAGCCAGACTTTTTTTTTTTTTTTTTTTTTTTTTTAAAAGACAGAGTCTTGCTCTGTCACCCAGACTGGAGGGCAATGTTGTGATCTCAGCTCAGTGCAGCTTCTGCCTCCCGGGTTCAAGCGATCCTCCTGCCTCAGCCTCCCGAGTGGCTGGAATCACAGGAATGCACCACCACGTCTGGCTAATTTTTGTATTTTTTTTTGTAGAGAGGGGGTTTCACCATGTTGGCCAGGCTAGTCTCAGACTCCTCCTGACCTCAAGTGATCCACCCGCCTTGGCCTCCCAAAGTGCTGGGATTACAGGTGTGCACCACTGCGCCTAGACAAAAGCCAGACTTTTGTGGTCCTACAATTGCAGGTGGATTTTGATAACCATCTTGAAAGTTACTACAATGTACAGGCTTCCTAGGTATCTCTGTCTCAATCTAGAAGTGAACCTATTATCATTTAAAGACACCAAGGTTGTAGGGCTTTTACAGCATGATCCATGTCTGAAATGACACATGTTATTTAAGAACAGAGGTGCTGTCAGTGGTAAAATATGACATGCCAGGAAAAACATTCTTGATGGCTTTTATATTGCTGATTAATGAAGCCAAGGAACTAGGTTCAAATTATGTTCTAGAAACTGTGCTGGGGGACTTCTAACACCTTCTAACATTTCAGTCTCATTTTAGAAGTCCTAGAGATTGAGCAATAAAATGCACACTAATGACAAATTCTCATCAGGACAAGTGCCCCGCGGGTGTCGAGTAAGGAATAAAGCAGGTAAGATGAATTTCGAAGAGATTCTGGTCCTTGAAAGCTAGGGCTTTGAAATTCAAGTCAATCATGAAAAAATGACTGACTAGCCTAAGAGTCATATACAACAGTTTCTAATTGACCTTATTTGTACCCAAATCCATTTTGATTTGCTCTGGTCTTTCTAGTCTCACATTTCTGAGCATCGCATTAGTCAGCCCTGTCCGCCGGCCCTCCACTACACCACCCCTGCAGCCAGGTGCTTGCTGCGTTGGGCCTATCATCCCCCTAAATGGACTGGCCCACAGCATACAGTAACACTATGGACTAGCCAATCTGGTGCTTGAGCAGAATTGAAAATAGGGTGATTCAAATTGGCAGAACTCTCGGTGCCTCTCCTAAAGAGACGGCTTCTCAGGCACACGGGAGGACAAAAACGCCACTGAGAGACTATCAGCCCTGCTCCCTGCTTTTCCAGGGGACAAAGTGACCGGCCATCGCCCAGAACTGTAAGGGGCACAGGCAGGACACAAGGCAGGTTCCCCAGGTCTGAGTCCTGGGCTTTTTCAGCCTCACTCCATGTCCCAAATTGGGATTTCACTTTTAGCTTTCTTAAGTAAAATATCTACTCCTGGCTTGACATTTTAGAGCCTTCTTATTTCTATGACTTCCAAAATAACATATTTACTTGCTCTAAAGGTACGCAAATGCCAAATGCTCTATTTAAGAATGGAAACTTTCTCAGAGGCTGAGACTGAGGAAAGAGACCTGTCAAGACCTTCCTATCCCAATATCTGCTTTGGATATTCAGAGGGGAGGCAAGCCTGGGTGTCCTCCCGGCTCTGAAGTTCCTAGGCCCTCACCATATTCTGTGTATTCATGCACCTAACAAGTATTATTGAATACGCACACTGTGCCAGGCATCTAACTAGGAGCTTGGGCTAATAACGAATGAGACAAACTAGATCCTTCCTCTCCAACCCACTGCATGTTAGTGGCGGAAATAGACACTAACCAAACAAACAGAAAAATACCAGCAAGTCAAGGTGCCAATGCAGAGAATGAAGAGAGAGAGGGAATGTTGTCAGACTGATGCTCTTCAGACTAGGAGGTCAAAGAAGGTTCTCTGATGGAATGACATGTAAGCTTAGAGCTGAAGGACAAGAAGGAGCCATCCAAGTAAGATCAGGGAAGAAGAGCATTCCAGGCCTGGACACCATAAATACTGTCCCCAGAGCCCGAGGCATGGTGACGTGTGGCATGTTCGAGGTGTGGCTGGAACCCAGGGACAGTGGGGGAAGATGGAACAGGAAGAGGTCAGAGAGGTGGACAGGGCCCAGATCAGTCAGTGCTGTGCAAACCAGTGTGAGCAAGTTTGGATTTAGAGTGCAATGGGATGGCACCGGAAGGTTTTAAGCAGAGGAATGATGTGGTCTGATTACAGTTAGGATTATATCCAAATGAAAGGGCCTAGCAAAGGCTGTATGGCAGGAACTGCCCATGGGCCGATCCGAAAACTCACTGGTGTTACCCAGCATTTTGGACAATTCTAATGCCACAGTCTATGCTGGGGACAGAGGCCAAGGCCTATGCCCATGATTTCTACTCAGCGCTGAGCTACTTGCCCATGACTCCACAGGCTTTCCAACATTGTCTGTGACTCTTAGTGATTCTAAAATTCTAGCAATGGCACAAGATTGAGTGGAAACTCTGCCTCACCACAGGACTGACCATGAGTAGCTCACTTCAATGGATTGGTATTTCACAACTTAGCCTGGACATCGGTCAAGTTGGTAAGCCCTGCTTCTGGCTATGGCTGACCCAACTTCAGGACCTGGAGCACCTTAACTTTTTGTGAATCTAAAGAAAGAAAAGCACACACACGTCATCATATCTTCACTTTCAGGGTGTTCACAATCCCCTTGTGGCCAGACCATGGTCCCAAGATTAAGACCTCTTGGCCCACATGACCCCTTGTTTGCCTCTCGACAGTAGAATCTGCTGCCTGTGACCATCTCTGGCACAGCATTAGCCTCCAATCGCCCCTCTCCCGGACACTGAGTCCACATCAGCACTATGGATAAATCTGCCTCCAAAAAAGGAATGAGAGGAGAAGACATATAGGGAAGGAATCAAAAAGAAAAGGAAAGAAAAACTATGATGTGAACCCAAAGATGTGTAACTTGAAGCATTCTTGCAGCCATCCAAATATTGCCCTGAAACGCAATCTTATCCACATTCTTAAGTTAATGATGATACACACAGACCTCTGTCAGCATGAAAATGTTTATCAATTATGTCTGATCACCTTTTCCCTCATTACAGCTCCACTTATTTATGGTATTTCTCCAAGTGTGAGACATACTAATGTATATGAATTGACTTGAAGTGGTACATGAACACACAGTTTTCATAAATATGTAATTTATAGGTATCCAAAAGTATTAGCAAACTAAATTATGTCTTCACAGATAATACTATTTAAGAGAGAGCTAAGTAAAAAGGAGTGACTCTACATGAATTTTAAAACTATTAAGTAAGTAGGAGACCAAAACTGGCAAAATTCTGAAGGTTATGTGGGAATGAACGAAGTCTAGGAAAGAGGGGAGTCTCTATTTCACAATCCTTTCAGTTGGTGTCAAAACAATCTATTGGTGAACAGTAAGGAAGAGCTAGTCTGTAATTTCATCTACAATTTCTCTCTATATAATTTGTCCTACCCAGAAAAGCATTTCTTGCAGTCTTTTGATATTACCACTGGGAACTCAATATTCTTAAATTCAATTCAATATTCAATATTCTTAAATAGAATGGAGTAAGTCACTGTGGAATTTGATCTTGAAAATATCAGATGAGTTTTTAAAAGACTGTTTTCTTCAATTACATTAGGAGAAATTATATTAGAAATTTATCAATTGCCTTCTAAATTTACTTACATTTTTCAGGTGGTGTTATTGTAATAGTCTGAGCTGTAAATTCTTCATCAAAATATCTAGTATCTGTCTCAGATGTTACTTGAGGTTTAAAAGGAGGTACAAGCTGTAAAAAGAAAGAAAAAGAGTTTTATTAACTGATTTCAATTCAGGAAAATTCCTTTCTAGGAAAAAAGCAGAGAGCACGTAGTTAAATGAACAGAACAAAAGTCTACAATGCTGAGTCGCTGGGTAAGGGAGACATGATATTTGGCTTCCCAGTCAACAGTCTAAACCAACCGGTGGGTAATTGGTGGTTCTGTATAAAATCTAATGGATCACGAAAAACAACAAAAGAAAACCATTGAATAGGACGGGAGAGGGATATTGAAAAATCTGTGCTGGTTTTTTTCCCCAATAACAAACATACATGCAAAACCATATTGATGGGGAGCAGTGTGCCAGGATGTGGGCTCTTCCTCGGGCAACCTCTTTCTAGTGCTAGCTGAAGAGGGTAGTAATAAAAATACAACTTAATAATACAGCTATCACCAGGTTACAGATGAGAGTGCTGCCTTTGCCCTTCGTAAAGAACTACAACTTTGTACTTTGCTAAGAATTTGCTGATAAGAGATGGGCATTGATGCCTGCCCTGCTCTGGAAAAGGGTTTCCTGGTAGCCCCTGACGTTACATGCAAAATCTTGCCCACAGCTTTCATCAGATCCTCAAAGGGGACCACAGCCCAGAAGAGATTAAGAGTAGCTCCCCTGAGATTGACAGGGCAGGAATCATCTCATTCGCACTGCACCTGCGGCAGGCATGGCGTTAGGGAAGGTGGGGGTGGAAGGAAAGTCTCGGGCTACTGGAGGTTTCAGGAGCCGGAGCCCTGTGAACCTCCACTGGTTGGGAGGGAGAAGGAGCTAACACGAGGCTCCTGCTTCTCAGGGCTCTAGCCTTGAGGGACAGGTGGAACCCACAGGTTCCTTCTAGCACAGGATGCCCAGTCCCAGAGCATTAGGGTCAGAGTGCGTGCTCTGCAGAGTATCATTCAGAACAGGGGATGCTGCTTTAGAATACAGTTCTCACGGGGATAGGAACATGGCAAACAGAATGACAGAAATCAGCATGTTTTATAAAAATTTTACAAAAACAAATACACAATTGGCTTGAGATCAGTGCATTTTCCCACTCTTTCTGTCACCAAATGTATGTTAAATAATAAGGAAAATCTTTAAATTATTCTCTAGACAGAACTATATTTTTAAGAATCGTGGGATGAGCAGAATTAAAAGCAGGTTTTCAAAATAAGGGACATTTCAGTTTATGGTACATGCTACAAAGCATTCTTAATCTCTTCTTTTTATAATTCTTTCTGTTTACCCCCAGCACACAGCTATTCTAAGGTCTTCATGATTAGCAAGCACTCCTTTGGGGATGAACCAACTCTACGTTCCACTGATCAGCTGGTAATGGCGACTAATCCCTAAACTGAAACAAACTCCTCCACCAGTGGCAAGGAGAAGCCTGCCATTGTGCCAGACCATATTTCTTTCTAGCTGCCCTGCTGGATCCCCTGGACATGAGCAAGCAGGTCACTCCACTGCTAGAAACCCTCCCTCTGACTCTCAGGCTAAATTCTCCACACCAGCCTCACATATCACATGCACACGCACAGGGAACCCCAGAGGTGACAGAGGCTGGAACAATTTTGTTTTTTTTATTTTTTTTAGAAAACCAAGGGGGTAATTGCCCCTATCTGGCAGAAAACGGGAAGACTGGAATTCTGGTTGGGTTTTTCTGATTTACTATTCTACAGATGTTCACAAAATAGGTCTTTATCTTTCCAATCAGAAGTTAACCACAAGAAATTCCTGTGGCTGGAATCGGCTTCTCTTGGGCACTAGGAGTAGGTTTGCTCACCTCTGCCCCATCCTTTTCATCTGGTTCTTTGTGATGTCAAAAATTTAAATTTGCCTTCAAGTTAGGGGAAACTTGTCCTTTTAGATGAGAGAATGATGACCTGTAACTTTAACAAACTGAAACCTATCTTAACACAGTTTTCAAAAGATTATAGGGGAGCTTAAAATAGTCTCTGTTTCAAATGCCACGTGTACTGAGGACTTTCCTGACCGCCTTCTTACATTAAACAGCTATCCTCCCCCTCACTTTCTATCTTCACATTGCTTTTTCTTCAAGACTTTGCGACATCTGATACACAGGCACGTATACATGCACACATATGATATACATGTATTTGTTACTGTCAATGTTCATCACCAATAAAATATAAGTTCCACGAGGGCAAGGACTTTAAAAAAAAGTTTATTGATGCGTAATTAACATACACTAAACAGCACACATTAAGAATATACAACTTGGGCTGGGTGTGGCAGCGGGCGCCTGTAGTCCCAGCTACTTGGGAGGCTGACGTGGAAGGATCACTTCAGCCCAGAAGGCAGAGGTTGCTGTGAGCCAAGATTATGCTATTGCATTCCAACCCGGCCGGGGCGAACGAGTAAAACCCTCTCAAAAAAACAAACAAAAAACATGCAACTGATACGTTTTGACATATGTATATACCCATGAAACTGTCACCAAAATCAAGATGATGAAAACATCTACCACTTCAAATGTCTTCTTGTGCCCATGTGTACTTCCATCCTCCCATCCCCTGCAGGCCATGACTGACATACTTTCTGCCATGACTGATTTGCTTGTATTTTAAAGAATTTTATGCAAATGGATCATAGAGTATGTACTCTTTATCTGGCTTGTTCATTTAGCATTATTACTTTGATATTCATCCATGTCACCACATGTATCAATAGTTTACTCACTTTGCTGGGTAATATTTCAGTACATAGATGTATCACAATGGACACACTCATCTGTCAATGAACACAGGGCCTGCTCCCAGTTTGGGGCAATTACAAACAAAATTGCTATTAACTTTTATGTCCACGTCTTTGTGTAGACATATGATTTAATTTATTTAGGACAAATACTAAGGAGTGGAATGGCTGGGCCGTATGGTAGGTATACATTTGACTTTTCCAGAAACTGTCAAATTGTTTTCCTTTACCATGTTAAAAAAAAAAAAAACCCAATTCCTAATTCACTCAGAGCGTTTCATTTTTTGTTTAAATAAGTTTTAAAAAGGATGGATTTTTCTTAGTTTTTTCTTTGCATCATTTGATATAATCATTTCCTTCGTACTCTGTTAATAGGTGAACTATAGTGATTGGTTTTGAATGTTAAATCAATCTTATATTCCTAGAACAGACCACACTGGTAGTGATTCTTTGTATCTATTGTTAGATTTGATTTGCTAAAATTAAATTAAACATTTTAGCATATATATTCATTAAGAATATTGGTCTATAGCATTCTTTTAAAAATCTCTTTGCGGGCCAGGTGTGGTGGCTCATGCCTGTAATCCCAGCACTTTGGGAGGCCGAGGCAGGCAGATCACCAGGTCAGGAGATCAAGACCATCCTGGCTAACATGGGAAACCCCCGTCTCTACTAAAAATACCAAAAATTAGCCGGCTGTGGTGGCAGGTGCCTGTAGTCCCAGCTACTCGGGAGAATGGCATGAACCCGGGAGGCGGAGCTTGCCATGAGCTGAGATCGCGTCACTGCACTCCAGCCTGGGCGACGGAGCAAGACTCCATCTCAAAAAAAAAAAAAAATCTCTTGCATATTGATATCAAGTTAATACCTGCCTCACAGAATGAACTGAGAAATGTTCTCTCATCTTCAATTTTCTGGAATAATTTGTATAGAACTGATAATATTCCTTAAATGTTTGGTAGACTTCGTTGGTGAAAATATGTGGGTCTGGTGTCTTTGTCAGAAGGATCTTAACCACAACTATAATTTCTTTAGCAGGTACAAGGCTATTCATGACATCTATTTCTTCTTGGTAATTTGTATCTTTCAACATATGTGTCCATTTCAGCTAAATAGTTGAATTTATTGGCATAAAGTTATACATAATGCTTCCATATTATCCACTTAATACCAATAGAATCTGTAGCAGTGTCAACATTTATTATTTGTCTTCTCACTTTTCTTTTCAGTCAGGTGAGAAATACATCAATTTTAATGATCTTCTCAAAAGCCCAGTTTTCCTTTCATCAATTTTCTCTATGATTTTTTGTTTTCTATTTCATTGATTGCTATCCCAATCTTTATTTCCTTTGTTCTGCTTACACTGTGTTTAACTTGTTCTTATTTTTCTAATTCCTTTTTCTTTTTCTTGTTTTTTAGAGACAAAATCTGGCTCTGTCACCCAGGCTAGAGTGCAGGGATGTGATCATAGTTCACTGAAGCCTCAAAACTCCTGGCCTCGAGCAATCCTCCTGCCTCAGCCTCCTGAAGCAATCCTCCTGCCTCAGCCTCCTTGAGCAATCCTCCTGCCTCAGCCTCCTGAGCAGCTATGACCACAGGTGCACACCAGTATGCCCAGCTAATATTTTGTTATTTAGAGATGGGATCTCACTATGTTGTGCAGACTAGTCTCGAACTCCTCTACCTTGGCCTTCAAAAGTACTGAGATTATAGTTGTGAGCTACTGTGCCCAGTCCTAGTTTCTTAAGATAGAAGCTAAGGTCATTAATTTTACACTTTTCTTCTTTTCTAATGTTTAAAAATATCTTTTAGTACTATAAATTGTATTTAGTACTATAAATTTAAGTATTGCTTTAGCTGTATATCACAGCTAAACACATTGTGTTTTCGTTTTCAGTCCATTCAAAATACTTTCTCATTTCCCTTTGATTTCTTCTTTGATCCATGGATTAATATTTAGTTTCCAAGAACTTGGGGATTTTCCATAGATCTGTGTTTTTTTAATTTCATTTCCTTCAAAGAGAAAATGTTTTACAGTACTTAAATCCTTTAAAATTCATGGAGTTGTTTTGCTCAACATATGGTACACTGTGATAAATGATCTGTGACCTTGAGAAAAATAAGTGTTCTTATGCTGTTGGGTAGCGTGTTCCATAAATGTCAGTTAGATCAAGCTGACTGATAGTATTGCCCAAGTTGCTATATAACCTTACCAATTTCTCTCCAATTGCTGTATCAATTATTTGAAGATGGATATTGAACTGTCCAATAGTAACTGTAAATGTGTCTATTTTTCCTTATATTAGTTTTTGCTTCAAATATTTTGTTTTGTTATTAGATGCATAACTAAGACGGTTAATACTTCTTGATGAAATGACTCCCTTAATTATTATGAAATGTTCCTCCTTATCTCCAGCAATATTACTTGCTTTGAAATCTACTTCATATGATTTAATATAGCACTCTAGTTTTCTTCTGATTAGGTTGAGCATAGTATATAATTTTCTGTTCTATTAATTTTAATCTACTTATATCTTACATTTAAAGTTGGTTTCTTATAAGCAGCATATAGGTAGTTCTTGCTTTTTACCAAGTCTAATCTCTGTCTTTCAATTGTGGTGTTTAGAACATTTACATTTAATGTGATTATTGATACGAGTAAGATTAAATTTACCATCTTGCTATTTGTTTCCCACTTGTCTCCTCTGGAACTTTGTGTTGCACTAATGTGATATTCCCAACTCCTAAAACAGTCCTTGCCACATAGTAGCATTCAACAATATTTGCGGAATAAATGAATCAATCATTCAGTCTTGCAGCTGAGTAAGACGTCAGTGAGCATGTAGTGTACCTTTTTAGAGATCAGGAAATTAAAGCTGACACTGGTTAAATGGCTTGCCAAAAATTATACGAATAAGAACTGGAGCGGCAAAAACCTAGGTTTCTTGATCTCAAGGTCTTTTTACTGTAGCATTTACAATGTGAAGGCTTTGAATGAAAACTACTTTTGCTTTTGATTGTTTCTCTATACATTAGTCAAGATATTCATTCTAGGAAGCATTATTCCCCCTTCCACTTCCCCTGTCCCTGAAGGTGAAGACAACTCAGTGGAATATAAACATTTGTAGGGAAGCAAAGACCCTACATTATGTATATGGGGAACATTGTCGGGTAGGGCTTGTAAAAAATTGCCTCAGTATGGCTGGGTGCAGTGGCTCATGCCTGTAATCCCAGCACTTTGGGAGTCTGAGGCAGGCAGATCAGGAGTTTGAGACCAGACTGGCCAACATGGTGAAACCCCATCTCTACTAAAAATACAAAATTTAGTTGGGTGTAGTGGCACATGCCTGTAGTCCCAGCTACTTGGGAGGCTGAGGCAGAAGAATCACTTGAACCTGGGAGGTGGAGGTTGCAGTGAGCCGAGATCATGCCATTGCACTCCAGCCTGGGTGACAGAGCAAGACCTCGTCAAACAACAAAAAAAAACTGCCACAGTACTTGAACAGAAGCAGTCCCACAAAAATCATCAGAATGCCCCAACTTCAGATTTCATTACAAATTTCTAGAATATATAATATTCTTGAGTAGTCTTCATAAACTTTATGGAAAATGTGTATTATGAAAAAACCATGCACAGATTTCAAAAAATTTCTGCACCAAAATTAACTCATACTGATTTGTTATAACATGACTGTACAGGATCAAGTTTGAGGGACTAAGAAGGATAAGACATCAGTTTGGACAGAGCCCCTGTAAGAGCAACATGAATTCTAAAATTGAAGCAAGAACAAACATGAAATTCATGGTGAAGCTTGGGTGGAAGAATGATTAAATCACTGATGCTTTATGAAAAGTTATGGGAAGTATGCCCCAAATAAATCAGCAGTCTAAAAATGGATAACTTATTTTAAGAAGGGATGAGACAATGTGGAAGACGAAGCCAGCAGCGACAGACCATCCACATCAATTTGCAAGGGAAAAAATTAATCTTGTTTGTGCCCTAATTCAAAAGGACCAATGATTAACAGCAGAAACAACAGCCAACACCATAGACATCTCATCTGGTTCAGCTTACAGAATTCTGACTGAAAAATTTAAGTTGAGCAAACTTTCCACTTGATGGGTGCCAAAACCATTGCACCCAGATCGGCTGCAGACAAGAGCAGAACTTTCAATGGAAATTTTAAACAAGTGGAATAAAGATCCTGAAGCATTTCTTTGAAGAATTGTAACAGGAGATGAAACATGGTTCTATTAGTATAATCCTGAAGATAAAGCAATGGGTATGAAGAAGTGGAAATGGTCCAGTCAAAGCAATATTGGACAGGTCAAGGGCAAAGGTCATGGCAACAGTTTTTTGGGTGCTCAAGGCATTTTGCTTATTGACTTTCTGGAGGGCAGGAGAATGATAACACCTGATTATAAGCACTTGGAGAAAGTTGGCCAAAGCTTTGGCAGAAAAACTTCTGGGAAAGCTTCACCAGAGAGTCCTCCTCCACCAAGATAATGCTCCTGCTAAATCCCTCTCATTAAACAGGGGTATTTCATGAGAGCTTTCATGAGAAATCATTAGGCATCCACCTTACAGTCCTGATTTGGCTCCTTCTGACTTATTTTTCCCCTAAACTTAAAAAAGCTTTTAAAGAGTATTAGTTTTTCTTCACTTAATAATGTAAAAAAAAGACTGCACTGATATAGGTAAATTACCAGGATGTTCAGCTCTTTAGGGATGAACTAACTAGCTGGTATCATGGCTTACAAAAGTGTCTTGAACTTGACGGAGCTTATGTTGAGAAATAAAGTTTATATTTTCTGTTTTTATCTTTTAATACCATTTTCCATGAACTTTTTGAAGTCCCCTCATATTTACTTTAAACAACAGCTGAACAAATTTCAAATATTGTATTATTATAGGTTGAAATGTGTCCCTCCAAAATTAGTATGTTTAAACCCTAACCCCAAGTACCTCAGAATGTGACTCTATTTGGAGATAAGGTCTTTAAAAAAGTAACTGCATTAAAATGAGATATCAGGATATGTCTTAACTCAGTCTGGTATCTTTACAAGAAGAGGAAATTTGGACACCCAAGTAGACACACTAAGGAAAAACCATATGAAGACACAGGGAAAAGACGGCCATCTGCAAGCCACGGACAGACACCTCAGAAGAAACTAACCCTGCCTGCACCTTGATCTTGGACTTTCGCCAGAAATATGAGAAAATGAATTTCTGTTGTTTAAACCACCCAGTCTGTGGTATTTTGTTACAGCAGCCCTAGCACATAAATACATTAATTTCCTATTTCAGCTTTAAACCAGTATCTTCATCTCTTCTTTTCCTCTAACCACATCTCTCAAAACATTTCTGTCAACTGACTGAATGTAAATTCCCATTTAGAAAAGATAGTCATATATATTTCTGTAAATCTCAGCTACTTTTATGGATCAACTCAATGAACAGCTATAGTGTCATTAACTGCAAACAACATATTTTTCTGACAAATGCACTAAACTTGAAACAAATCTTTATTTGAAAACCAATTTGCTTTCAGAAAATGTAGTATTCAGTGATCTTAAACAAGAGGATAAAGTTTCTGGGTTCAAGACATCAATTTCATCTCACTGAAAATATGCAACTTCAAGTCCGTATGGTGACAGCAACGTTGAAGCTCCCTAAATTCTTTCCACACTGATCTTTTATCAAATTTTAAATGCTATGAAATCACTCTAC
This sequence comes from Homo sapiens, assembly GCF_000001405.40. Taxonomy (NCBI): domain Eukaryota; kingdom Metazoa; phylum Chordata; class Mammalia; order Primates; family Hominidae; genus Homo; species Homo sapiens. Next base: position 243,520,884 of record NC_000001.11, read on the forward strand.
CATTTACTATCTTCCTAAAAGTGTCAATGAAAGAACAAAGAGATAATTTTCTGAAGGTTGTTAGAGTAAGTCACATTTGGTATTTCTGGTATGGCTGGAATGATTCCATGAGTGTATGCATGAACACCAAGGTCTCTGAAGGTAAGAGATTCCACAGACCTTTTTTAGTAACAAGTCACGTGCTACTATCAGATATCTATATTCTTTCTTCTATTGTTCCTTCCAGGGGCTTAAGAAATAGACTGGAGAACTTGAAACTTTCTGGGACAGCTGATGTGGACAGTGATTGTGGTATCTTAATTGCCTTAACAACTGTGGTTATTTCCACCACTTTGTGTTGGCATATAGGGTCCAAAATCCAGTGAACATAGATGTTTGCAGTAAAGAATTGCCAACACTATTGCATGTTTAGATTTCCCAGAGACAGTAATCTGGTGCTATAATTTTCACTTCTCTGAAACAACATGAGAAAGTAGTCAATCATAGGTGGAGATTCTGGTTTATTTAATCTCTACTAAATACTGGCTTCACGCTTTGTGTATATGTAGGTGTGCATGTACTGGAAAAGCAGGAGTATAAAAGAGGATTTATTTCTAACAAAACTAATGGGTATGTGGCATACATTATTTAGTTACTTTGTATGCTAAGCTGTGCCATACCAATGAATTCTTCTTGACATAAAACTAGAAACTAAAATAATTATATTTCATTTTTACAAAACTACACAGTAATAATTGAAGTTCATGCTGTTAATCTTGTGCCTACATAAAATGTACCAAGGGGCCCAAGGTATATAACAAATTAATATACCACTATTGTATCGTAATATTAGACCTGCCAAAATGAGTACTTTAACTATAAAAGACATTAAATGTTTAATTAATACATCTGCTTTCCTTGTTGGAATTCTGAGGGGTTTGTTAACACATGATATGGATGATTTGCATTACTTTAAAAAGTAATCCCCAGAAACTGGAACTTGTATTTTCTTTTCTGTGATAAATTTTCTCATTCAAAAATAACTTCATAAGCACTCATCCTATTGACTGTAGGTTTATGCCCAGGTGATGTTATTCACAAACATCCATAGATACGATACATTATTTGAAGATCTCAGTTATACCTGGAGAGGATTCACCTATAAATTACAACAAAAGGGCTCTCATTAGTGAAACACTGGGAGCCTTTTTAAAAGGCATGAGAGGGTAACAAAAAGATTTTGCACCTAGTAGTGTTAAAGGACAAGTTGCATTTATTATAACTATCAGAACTTCACTAAGAGCCTAGTGAAACAATCTACTTTCTCCCTTCTTCAGCTGATTTTATAGGCTCTGTCCAACATCAGCAGTGTGGCAGCCATTAATCACTATTTCTCTTAGAAATATTCAAGAACATGAGCAAAAGTTGAATAAGTATGCAGACTGGGGAGAAATGACATAAAGGCAATTTCCAACTTACAAGCTAATTTTGTTATAAAAGCCTATATATGTAAGGCTGGGCACAGTGGCTCACGCCTATAATTCCAACAATGTAGGAGGCCAAGTTGGGCAGATCACTTGAGGCCAGGAGTTCAAGACTAGCCTGAGTAACATAGAGAGACTCCATCTCTACAAAAAAATTTAAAAATTACCCAGGTATGGTAGCATGTGCCTGTGATCCCAGCTACTTGAGAGGCTGAGGTGGAAGGTTGAGGGTGAAGTGAGCTGTGATTGCGCCACTGCACTCCCCTGGGTGACAGAGAGAGACCCTGGCTCAAAAATTTAAAAAAGAAAAGAAAAGAAAAATGCAGCCTACATATAAACTGGAAAAAACTTGGGACCTGTTTCAATAGATACACACACATACACAGAAAGGCTATATAATGTAGGTAGGTTACTAGGCAGTAACATTAAGGTCTATTAAACCAGAAATAAATAAAAAATATAACATTAAAGCTTCTAACAAGTATCTATTATTTTTATAGAGAAATTCCTATTATATTTCTGTAAAGATGACGTGACCAAGACCCTCTCTCTCTCTCTGTCCAGGTTCTAGCACTGACAGCCACAGCCACTCTCTTAATACCACACCAGATGAATGCTGGAGAGACCCAGTGATAGGGAACATTTGGGTTGGGGGATGAACTTGTGGTGAGAAGGAAAGATAGGGGCTTTAAAAGCTGAGGAGGAAGAGGTAGAAGGTCAATTTGAGGCATAGGGGCAGGCAGCAATTTCTATGTTCTGCAAGGAAGCTATTGGAGAAAAGAACCTGTATTTATCCAGAGCTACTATGCCCAGGTGCTGTACTAATTAAGTGAATGCAGGAAACCAACTGGAATTTTATGAAGGACACAGAAGATGCAAGCTATGTTTTGAAGCTCTGGCTCCAAAAAGGACGAACACACACACACACACACACACACACACACACACACACACACACACACCTTTCAGAAACCAATTGGATATCCAAGGCTCCCCTTGCAGGTTTGTACTGGGCAGCTAAACATCAGAACAGGAACAGGCAAAGAAATCACAAGTAGTACTTCCTGTTAGCCTGGTAAACTCTCAAACAGGACTTTAAATGATCTGAAATACTCTATTCCCTAAAAAGAAAAAAGAAGTATGTTTTTTGAGCATCTCTTCAATGTGTCTTTAAACTGACAAAATATTCACATTGAAAATAATCTTATAGATCTAGTCCAATCCCCTCATTTTAAGATGAAGAAAACACTGAGCCCCTAAATATTCATACTAAAGTCATACTAAAGCATCACAATATCAACCACCACCCAATTAATTTTAATCCAATCCTAACTGCAGCTTCTATAACAGGTCCTTTACTCTTAAAATCTGGGTCAGGCAACCTCTGAAATACTTCTACCACCTCTGAAACACAACCCGCATCACATGAAAATGTAAATCGCCTGCTTATTTATCTGTCTCTTCTACTAAACTGTAAGCAACCGTTTGAAGACAGGGACTTTATCTTAGCTATCTCTGCAAGGCTAGCTGTTGGCACAATACTTACCATAAACTACAGTCATGTGTCACTTAATGACAGGGGTCTCTTCTGAGAAATGCATGTTAGTTGATTGTGTCATTGTCAAACATCATGGAGAGTACTTACATACAAGCCTAGATGGTGTAACCTACAACACACCTAGGCCATATGGGATGGCCTACTGCCCTAGGCTACAGCCCTGTACACGTTACAGTGCTGAATACGGTAGGCAACTGCAACACAATGGTAAGTATTTGTGTATCTAAATGTAGAAAAAGTACAGTAGAAATACGCTATTATAATCTTATGGAACCACTGTGGTATATGCGGTGTGTTGACTGAAGCATCATTATGTTGTGCATGACTTACAGAAAAGCACTAAATATTTGGTGAGTAAAGACAAGAAAATATTCACAGGAGGTTCTTTGGTGTTTTGGCCACTGGTGCCAAACACCAAGCACCAGCCTCTGCTGACTCCTGAACCATACATACCAGGCACCAGCCTCTGCTGACTCCTGAACCATGCATGCACAGGGAAGCCTCCAAGCTCCCTAGTGAAGTCTAAAAGGCATTGTCAAAAGGTAATGAAATTACACGTTCTCTAAAAAGAGGTCTGAATTTGTTACTGAGAATTGGGACAAAAGAGAAGGGGAACAGCCATGAATTATGTTTTGGCTGCACTGAACTAACCATAACATTCACTGGTAATTCACACTGTTTAAATAAGCTCTCTCACACAAGCTCTTTAGAAGGTTGCACAAACGTGAATCTGTGAGATACTTCCTTGCATGAATACAAAACACTGCTGTGCCACATGAAGAAAAGGTGTACATCTGGCATGCAATAATGCATAATTAAGAACAAATACTCAGTTTCACTTACAATCATGGTCAAGCAGCTCCGATTGGATTAACCCTCCTCCATATAACTGTAACCTCAGGAGAAAGACATGAAAACAATCTAAAGGTTCTGGGAAGCAACTAAAAACAGGCAGGTACTAAAGAGGAGGTGGGCACTAGGAATAAGGAATGGCACCAAATGAATTTCTCATTTTTACGGCTTTTTGCCTGAAGGTGGGCCCCAGCTTATGCCATTTAGGGTAAAAATCTTAAATTAGAAACCCACAGTTCTACTGCCATGAACAATCAGAGGACAGAGCTTGAACAAGTACAGCAGCTTTTAAGTGAAGGAGGTGAAATTCCAGAAAAGAGGCAGCCAAAGAGAAGAAGCCCTAAAATCTCAGTATAAAGTCTGCCCAGATCTCTGACTCTTGAACCACACATGCACAGGGCAGGCTCCAAGCCTCCTAGTGAAGTCTAAATAAACCAGCCTGGAATCTTAACCCACTGGAAAAAAGAAAGCGTTTGCAGTTTGAGTTCATCCATGATGACTGGCCTAAGAAAATAAAAAATTCAGTATTCTTTGCTGCAACCTAACCGAATTCAGAGGCACAAAATACCAGTCACAATGCCCAGGATATATTCCAAAATGACTCAGCATTAAAAAAACAAAGGAAACAGAACCCATACACTAGAAAAAGACATCAAAGGAAACTGATGCTCTGATGATCTCATGTTGAAATTAGTAGACAAAGACTTTAAAGCAACTTTATAATTATCTTCAATGACGTAAAGTAAAATATGTTCATGAGTAAAAAAGTTGAAAATCTCAGCAGAGACACAGAAACTATTAGGAAAAGGACCAAATGGAAAAACCTAAAATAAAAAAAAATAAAATATCTGAAATAAGAAATTCTCTCTATGGGCTTGGAGCACATTGGAGATTATGTAAGAGTCAGTAAACTTGATATACCAGCAGAGATTATTATCCAATTTGAATAGCACAGGAAAACAATGTGAAAAAACAAGCAGAACTTCATACCTGTTGGACAACTTCCAAAAGTAAGAAAGAAAGAAAGAAAGAAAGAAAGAAAGAAAGAGAGAGGGAGAGGGAGGGAGGGAGGGAGGGAGGGGGAGGAGGAGAGATAGATAATAAGACAGAAAATATATTTCAAGAAATAATGGCTAAAAGTTTTCCAAAGTTAAAGAAGGATATGCAAGAGATTCAAAAAGCTCAGGCAACTCCAAGCAGAATAAATAGAAAACCTCACCTAAACACATTATAGTCAAAAGGCTTAAAACCAGAGTCTGTCACGGTTCCATGAGAGAAGCAGAACTACTCTGTGTGTGTGTAAAGAGATTACAGGTAACTGAATTTCCCTGATTGTGGGAGCTAGTTATGTTGTCTCTGTAAGGCTGTTGTCTCCAAGTTCACTGCTGAGGCTTCATGTCCATAGGACAGTAAGTTGAGAAGCGAAGATGCAAGCAAAGCCAGGAGAGGAAAGATGAAATGGAATCTAGAAGCACAAGCTGGAGCCCAGGAGGATAGACTGAAACCCGTGTTAATTCGTACCGCCTGACCTTGCTGGTGTGGATATCCTGCAAAAGCTGGGACTTTCATCATGGAGCTAAACACACACTCCAGCCCAGAAGTAGGCTCAAGGGCTAACAGGATGCAGGAGGAGGTGGAGCTGATGCAGGCCTGACCACTGCCACGTACCAATAAGATGGTCTAGCAGACAACATGAATGAGCTACAAAATGGCTGTTCCGTCACGTCTATCCTCCAAATCTCCCACGAGAATCTTAAATAGCAAAAGGAATCCTGGGAAAGGTGGCTCAGTCTAGTCAACTGACATATTACAAAGCCATCACACAAACAAAAATATCTTGAAAACAGCCAGTGAAATATACCACATGACTTGCAAGGAAGAAATATTTAAATATGTACTCACTAAACTATCAACCCACAATTTTATATTCAGTAAAAATATCCTTTAAGAATGAAGGCAAAATAAAGACATCATCCCATAAAAGAAAACAAATTTTTTGCCAGCTGCACTACAAAAAATGGTTAAAAAAAAAAAAAAAAAAAAAAAAAAAAAAAAAAAATTTAGACTGAACAGGAATTATTCCAGACGAAAACATGGATCTTTAAGAAAAAAAAATGAAGAAATGAAAGTGTTCTCAAATTAGACAGCGGTGATGGTTGCATAAGTCTGTCAAGACCCTAAAAACCATGGAAGTGTATACTTTAAAGGGTGAATTATCTCAATAAAAAATTAACAAAAGAATAACACTGGAAACAGCAAATACGTAAGAAAATAATAAATACTAAGAGTCCTAACTTAGAATCTGGGACAGATATGAAGATTAATCTTCAAACAGAAACACAGATGTTTAATGAATAAACCGAAACACTTAAAATTAATATAGTAAGGTCTGGAAGATTCACTTAGGCCCTTTCAGAGGAGACATTATTTCATTGAGGCCTCTCTGTGCCTTGCACATGATAGATAAAAATATTACTTATGTAATCAGTTGCCATCCTATTGAAATGAGTATCAACCAAGTGACCAAAATAAACTATAAAGTACCTAAATTACTCTCTAGAGGCAAGATTTTTTCTTCTTTTCTGAAGGAAATCTCTGAAAGATAAGTAGGAATGCAATAAGTATTAAGATCCATTTCAAAATAATCCAAACATTCTAAATCAATCTTCCTAGAATACCTCTTAAATCTTTTCTAAGTTGTGCTTTATATAATACTTATATAATTATGTTTTATAATCATTATAATTTTTTCTTTCGAGGAACAAGGCTTTAGCAGTCAGCATAAAATTGGGCTTTGGGATTTTCAACCTCAGCTGGGCCCTCCAGCAATCGGTACCTCTTTATAGGTCCCTACTTGGGTTTCTCTCTAGCTCCCTCTGAGCCTATCCCTACATGTGACAGTCACTGTCTTAAAACTTCTAATATCAACCATAAAACATTCTTCTCACTCTTAATAAGAAGGCAGAACTTCTGCCATAAAGATGGTGGGACTTATACCTGTAGGCCCAGCTATTCGGGAGGATCCCTTAAGGCCAGGAATTCGAGGCTGCAGCGAGCTGTGATCGTGCCACTGCACTCCAACCTGGGCATTACAGCAAGACTCCATCTCTTAAAACACACACACACACACACACACACACACACACACACACACACACACACACACACACACACACACACAGAGAGAGAGAGAGAGAGAGAGAATTTGAGGCCTTCAGTCAGAAACTACCATAACTTTCTGCCTAAATACCATAACTTTCTGCCTAAATGCTTATAAACACATCTGCTCTGGTGGGCGTCTTACTTCTTTCCAATTGATGTCACTACAAGGGTATCCCACCTCCTTTCTATAGGTTAGCTATGCTTCAGAGATCTTACATTTTTTTCTGTATTTACTCACTTTACATCTTACTATCTGTATGTTTTTATCTTAAATATTACTTGTTTCTATGTAGCTCCAATTTCACACTCCCTTTTGGATCATTCCTGAGTGTATGAAATAAATATCACCCATTCTACATGCTCCCTTTAGCTACTGCTCCTTTCTTAACTCTTCAATTTTCTCTATTTTTTAAATTTTAGGTTGAGTGGCACACACGTAGGTTTGTTATATAGGAAAACTGCATATCATGGGGGGGTTTGGTGTACATGTCATTCCATCACCCAGATAATAAGCACAGTACCTGGTAGGTCGTTTTTTGATCTTCACCTTCCTCCTGCCCTCCACCCTCAAGTAGGCCTTGGTGTCTGCTCTTCCTCTCTTTGTGTTGATACGTACTCAATGTTTAGCTCCCACTTGTAAGTGAGAATATGCGGGATTTTGTTTTCTGTTCCTGTGTTAGTTTGCTTAGGCTTATGGCCTCCAGCTCCATCCATTTTGCTGCAAAGGACATGATCTTGTTCTTTTTGATGACTGCATAGTATTCCATGGTGTATCTGTACTACATTCTTTATCCAATCTGTAATTGATGGGCATTTAGGTTGATCCCATGTCTTTGCTATTATGAACAGTGTTGTAATGAACATATGTGTGCATGTGTCTTTATGGCAGAAGAATTTACATTCCAATAATGGGACTGCTGAGTCAAATGGTAATTCTGCTTTGAGTTGAGATATTGCCAAACTGCTTTCCACAGTGGATGAGCTAATTTGCATTTGCACCAGCAGTGTATAAGTGTTCCCATTTCTCACAATCTTGCTAGCATCTGTTATTTTTTGACTTTGTAATGAGGGCCATTCTGACTGGTGTGAGATGGTATCTCACAGTGGTTTTAATTTACATTTCTCTAATGATTAGTGATGTTAGGCATTTTTTCATATGCCTGTTGGCCACATGTATGTCTTCTTTTGGGAAGTGTCTGTCCATGTCCCTTGCCCACTTTGTAATGGAGCTTTTTTTTTTTTTTTTGTAAATTTGTTTAAATTCCTTATAGATTCTGAATATTAGACCTTTGTCAGATGCATAGTTTGCAAATATTTTCTCCCATTCTGCAGAGGTCTGTTTACTCTGCTGATAGTCTCTTTTGCTGTGCAGAAGCTCTTTAATTAGGTCAAGTTTTGTTTTTGTTGCAATGGCTTTTGGAGTCTTTGTCATGAAGTCTTTGCCAAGGTCTATGTCCAGAATGGTATTTCCTAGGTTATCTTATATGGCATTTTTTATAATTTTAGGTTTTACATTTAAGTCTTTAATCTATCTCGAGTTGATTTTTGTATATGGTGTAAGAAAGGGGTCCAGTTTCCACCTTCTCTGCATATGGCTAGCCAGTTATCGCAATATCATTTATTGAAGAGGGAGTCCTTTCCCTATTGCTTCTTACTGTTGACTTTGTCAGAGATCAGATGTCTGTAACTGTGTGACATTTCTGGGCTATTTATTCTGTCCCATTGGTCTATGTGTCTGTTTTTGTACCATTACCATGCTGTTTTGGTTACTATAGCCTGCAGTATAGTTCAAAGTTGCGTAATGTAATGTCTCTGGCTTTGTTCTTTTTGCTTAGTATTGCCTTGGCTATTCGGGTTCTTTTTCGGGTCCACATGGATTTAAAAATAGTTTGGTTTTTTTTTCTAATTTTGTGAAGACTGTCCTTGGTAGTTTGAATAAGAATAGCACTGAATCTGTAAACTGCTGTGGGCAGTATGGCCATTTCAACAATATTGATTCTTCCCAACCATGAGCATGGAATGTTTTTCCATTTGTTTGTGTCATCTCTGATTTCTCTGACCAGTGTTATGTAGTTCTCATTGTAAAGATCTTTCACTTCCCTGGTTAGCTGTATTCCTAGGTATTTTATTCTTTTTGTGGCTATTGTGAATAGGATTGCATTCTTGATTTTGCTCTCAGCTTAGATGTTGTTGTTGCATAGGAATCCTGATTTTTGTACATTGATTTTGTATCCTGAGATATTGCTTATGTTAATTTGTCAATTTTTGTTAGGTTGTTTATTGGATTGTAGAGCTTTTGGGCAGAGAAAATCGGGTTGTTTAGGTATATAGAACCATACTGTCTGCAAACATGGATGGTTTAACTTCAGCAAATTTTTAAAAACCTGAAATCATACCAACCACACTCTCAGACCACAGCACAATAAAAACAGAAATCAATACTAAGAAACTCTCTCAAAACCATATAATTACATGGACATTAAACAACGTGTTCCTGAATTACTTTTAGGTAAATAATGAAATTAAGGTAGAAACCAAGAAATTCTTTGAAACAAATGAGAACAAAGATACAACATACCAGAATCTCTGGGACACAGCTAAGGCAGTGTTAAGAAGGAAGTTTATAGCACTAAACGCCCACATAAAAAGTTAGAAAGATCTCAAATTAACAATGTAACATCACAACTAGAAGAGCTAGAGAAACAAGAGCAAAGCAACCCCAAAGCTAGCAGAAGGCAAGAAATAACCAAAATCAGAGCGGAATTGAAGGAAATTGAAATGCAGAAAAAGTACAAAAGATGAACAAATCCAGGAGTTGGTTTTTTGAAAGAATTAACAAAATAGACTGCTAGCTAGAATAACTGAAAAAGAGAGATGATCCAAATAAACACAATCAGAAATGACAAAGGGGTCATTACTACTCTTCAATTTTCTTGAGTAGCCTAAGCTTGGTGTTCTATTTCTTTTAACTTACACTTGAATTGAAAATAAAAAAAGAACTAGTTTAAGCATTAAGAGTAGAAAATAAGATAACCAAATCTAATGGATGTTAACATTGTACTATATGTATTTTCAAACATCTGTTTTTTTCAGATGTAAAATAGTTACTGCTAAATACCTACCTTCTTCCTACTCATTGATGTTCAACCATTCTATCTATCTATCTATCCATCCCTCTCTCTATCTTTTGAGATGAGGCCTCGTTCTGTCACCCAAGCTTGGAGAGCAGTAGTGTGATCACAGCTCATTGCAGCCTTGATCTCCTGGGCTCAAATGATCCTCCCACCTCAGCCTCCTGAGTAGCTGAGACTACAGTCGTGCACCACCATGCCCGGCTAATTTTTTGTTATTTTTGGTAAAGGTGGGGTTTTGCCATTGGTCTTGAACTCCTGGGCTCAAGGAATCCTCCTACCTTGGCCTCCCAAAATGCTGGGATCACAGGAATGAGTCACTGCACCTGGAAATGTTCAACCATTTTAACCTGTGAGAATGGCAATCACCTATGATTCAAGCAAATATTGTCCTGAAGTTACTTCATATCATTTGCATGCAAGTTTTTATAGTTTTCTCCCATATATATATTTTGTCATAAATACAATGCTTTTTATGGTGCATTTTCAGTTTTTGTAGTACGGTATTCTGTAAATATCCTCAGTATTTTGTTTTTCTGTGTTTGTTTTTTGAGATTTATCAATATTGATACTTATAAATTTGAGTTGTTTTTTATTCTTGAATAGTATTCTACCATAAGATTAAGAAAAAACTGCACTGAATCTGTATTATCATTTTGAGTACTCTCATCTTAAATTAAATATCCAATATATAAACATGAGATGTCTTTCCATTCATTTATGTCTTCTTTTATTTCTTTCAGCAATGTTTTGTAGTCGGTAGTGTATAAGTCTTGTGCTTCCTTGGTTAAATTTATTCCTAAGACATTTTTTGATGCTATTTTAAATGAAATTGATCTTCTTAAGATCAATTTTACATTGTTGATAGCTAGTATATGGAAATACAATGTATTTTCTAGCTTGCTTTTGCATCCTGCAACTTTACTGAATGTATTAGTTCTAAGCACAAGTGTGGCACGTGTGTGTGTATGTTTTAGGGTTTTCTACATATAAGATCATGTCACCTATTAGTAGGGGTAGTTTTATTTCTTCCTTGCAAATTTGATTGCTTTTTATTTCTCTTATTTAACTCCTCTGGCTACAGCTTCCAGTGTCACGTTAACAGAAATGTTGAAAGTGGTATCTTTGTTTTCTTCCTTATCTCAGGGGAAAAACTTTCAGTCTTTCACCATTGAATATAATGTGAGCTGAGGGTTTTCCAAACTATAGAAATGATCCCTTAAAGGACAGTCTTTCCAAGAATTTTTCATATATGACCTTTATAATGTTGTGGCAGTTTCCTTCTATTCCTAGCTTTTTTTTCTTTTTACTGTTTTTATCATAAAGGAGTGAATTTTGTCAAATGCTGCCCATCAGTTGAAATGATCATGCAAGTTTTCTCCTTCATTCTATTAATGTGGGACATTACACTGATTAATTTCTATACGTTGAACATCCTTGCATTCCTGGAATAAATCTACTTGGTTAAGGTGTACAATCCTTTAATTATACTGCTGAATGGTTTGCTAGTATTGTTAAGAAATTTTGCATCTGTATTCATTAGGGACATTGGTCTGTAGTTTTCTTTTCTTATAATGCCTCTAGTTTTGACATCAGGATAATGCTCCCTTCATAGAGCAAGTGAGAGAGTGTTCACTCCTCTTCAAATTTTTGGAAGAGTTTGAGAAGGACTGGCATTAATTTTTCTTTAAGTGTTGGGTAGACTTCCCCAGTAAAGCCAACTGGCCCTGGGCTTTTCTTTGGTGGGAGGTTTGCGATTAGTGATTTTATTTCTTTAAGAGTTACGGGGTCTATTTGGATTTTCAATTTATTCTTAAGTCATTTTGGTGATTTGTGTATTTCCAGGAATGTGTCCATTTCATCTAGGTTACTCAACTTGGTGGCATACACTTCTTCAGAGTATCATCTTATAACCCTTTCTATTTCTCTCAAGTCAGGAGTAATATCTTTTTTCATTTCTGATTCAGTATTTCATTTTTCTCTTTTTCCTCCTTAGTCAATCCATTTAAAGTTTTGTCAGTTTTGCTGATTTTTCAAATAACCAACTTTCGGTTTCGGTCATTATTCTCTATTGCTTTTCAATTATCGATTTCATTTATTTCCGTTGTAATCTTTACACCAATAAATTGGTTAACCAAAATAATGAAGAGGTAAAACTACCAAAAAGATATAACAATACTACAATTTGGGTGCATCTACACATGGAACTAAAAAAATGTCAAAACTGATAGAACTATAAACAGAAATAGTCAACGCCATAATTATAGTTGAAGGTTTCACTTCTCTCTTAGTAACTGATAAAAGCAAGCCATTAAGCTATCAGTAAAGATGCAGAAGACTTAACACTATTAGCCAATTCTATCACTGACATTTATAGAATATTCTACACAAGAGCAAAGTACCTATGGCAATTGTACTATCTGTGAAATGAATGGTGCTATTTAAAAGAGGACTTGAATTAGTTATAAGTGTATACTTCAAACTCAAGGGCTGGCAGTTAAAAAAAGTTAAAAAAGCATAATTTATTCAATTAATATGTTATGAGAGGGAAAAATGTTGCCTTATACAATGCTCAATTAAACCAGAGAAGGCAGAATAAAAATGGGATACACACACACACAAAGAAACAGCAAGGGCAATGGATAAAAAACTGTAAGAAGGCCGGGCGCGGTGGCTCACGCCTGTAATCCCAGCACTTTGGGAGGCTGAGGTGGGCGGATCACGAGGTCAGGAGATCGAGACCATCCTGGCTAATATGGTGAAACCCCATCTCTACTAAAAATACAAAAAATTAGCCGGGCGTGGTGGTGGGCGCCTGTAGTCCCAGCTACTCGGGAGGCTGAGGCAGGAGAATAGTGTGAAGCCGGGAGGCGGAGCTTGCAGTGAGCCCAGATTGTGCCACTGCACTCCAGCCTGGGCAACAGAGCGAGACTCCGTTTCCAAAAACAAAAAGAAAAACAAAAAAACCTGTAAGAAATCCAACTGTATCAATTATCATTTTTAATGTCAGTGGTCTAAAGACATCAGCTAAAAGACAGAGACAGTCAGAGTAGATAAAAAAAACAAGATCTAACTATATGGTCTACAAGAAACCCACTTTAAATATAAAGACACTGATAGATTAAAAGTAAAGGGATGGAAAAAAGATAGGCATGCTCATAGTAATTTAAAGAAAGTGGGAGGAGCTATATTAATTTAAGACAAAGTAGGGCAAGGAAAACTATCAGAGATAAAGAGGGGCATTACATAATGATACCTGGGCCAATTCTCCAAGAAAACATAACAGTCCTTAATGTGTATGTGTCTAGCAACAGAATCAAAATACGTGAGGCAAAAACTGATAGAACTGGAAGGAGAAACAGATGACTCTACTATTATAGTTGGACACATCAACATGTCCCCCCAGTCAGTTAAGGACATAACTGAACTAAACAGCACCATCAATCAACTGGATTTAATATCAACATTATGGAATATTTTATCCAAGAAAAGCAGAATATGTAACTCTTCTCTTCTCACACAGAACATTCATCATGACAGACCATGTTCTGGGCCATAAAATGCACCTTTAACAAATTTTTAAAAATCATATAAAAGTATGCTCTCAGACCACAATGAAATTAAACTGGAAATCAGTAACAGAAAGATAGCTGGAAAGCTCCAAAATACCTGTAGACTAAACAACACATTTCTAAACAACACACATATTAAATAATTCAATAAAACTTAAAACTATTTGTAACTAAATGAAAATAAAACATCAAAATTTGTGAGATACAGTTAAAATAATGCTTAGAGGAAAATTTATAGCATTGAGTGCACAAATTAGAAAAGATCGAAAACAAATAATCTAAGCTTTCAGGTTACAAAACTAGAAAAAGAGAAAATTAAATCCAAAGTAAGGAGAAGAAAAGATATAATTAAAATTAGAGCGGAAATCAATGAAACAGAGAACAGAAAATCAATGGAGAAAAACTAACAAAAGCAAAAGCCAGATCTTTGTAAATATCAATGAACTGATAAACCTCTAGACATGTTAAGTAAGTGTATTTCTATCAGCTCCCTTGCATAAATTTTAAAATATAAAATTAAAAATTTTAAAATATATTTTAAAATATATTTAAAATTTTAAAATAATTTTAAAATATATTTTAAAATTATTTTAAAATATATTTTAAAAATTTCAATAGCTTTAGGGGTACAGTGGTTTTTGGTTACATGGATGAATTGTATAATGGTAAACTCTGGGCTTTAGTGTACCCATCACCCAAATAGTGTACGTTGTACCCAACAGGTGACTTTTCATCCCTCACCTCCCTCTTCCATCCTCCCCTCACTCTGAGTCTCCAGTGTCCACTCTACTACTCTGTAGACCTCTGCATACCCATAGCTTAGCTCCAACTTCTAAGTGAGAACATGCAGTATTTGATTTTCTGTTCCTGAGTTACCCCACTTAGGATAATGGCCTTCAGTTCCATCTATATGCTGCAGAATACATTATTTTGTTCTTTTTTATGGCTAGTGATATTCCAAGGTGTGTCTGTGTGCACATCCCATTTACTTTATCCACTCATTGGCTGATGAGGACTTAGGTTGATTCCCTATCTTTGCAATTGTGAATTGTGCTGCAATAAACATATGAGTATATGTATCCTTTTGTATAGAATGACTTCCTTTGTGTAGATACCTACTAGTGGAATTCCTGGATCGAATGGTACATCTACTAGTAGTTCTTTGAGAAATCTCCATACTGTTTTCCACAGAGGTTGTACTAATTTACATTCCCACCAACAGCATGTAAGCATTCCCTTTTTACCGCATCTACATTAACATCTATTGTTTTTTGACTTTTTTAAAATGACCATTCTGATTGGGGTAAAATGGTATCTCACTGTGGTTTTATTTGGTAGTTTCCTGATGATTTGTGATGTTGAACATTTTTTCCCATG
Organism: Homo sapiens; assembly: GCF_000001405.40. Taxonomy (NCBI): domain Eukaryota; kingdom Metazoa; phylum Chordata; class Mammalia; order Primates; family Hominidae; genus Homo; species Homo sapiens. The sequence goes on from NC_000001.11 coordinate 243,535,999, forward strand.
TTTGTTGGCCATTTGCACATATTTTCTTTCGAGAAATGTGTATTCATGTTGCTTGCCCACTTTTTAATGGAATTATTTGAATTTTTTCTTGCTGATTTGAGTTCTTTATAAGATTCTGGGTATTAGCCCTTTTTCAGAAGTAAAGTTTGCAAATATTTCCTCCCAAACTGTAAGTTGTCTATTTACTTTGTTGATGATTTCTTTTGCTGTGCAGAAGCTTGTGAGTTTAATTAAGCCCCATTTATTTATTTTTGTTTTTACTGTATTTGCTTTTGGGGACTTAAGTCACACATTCTTTGCCTAGGTCAATCTCCGGAAGAATTTTTCATAGGTTTTCTTCTAGAATTTTTTATGGTTTCAGGTCTTACATTTATGTCTCCAATCCATCTTGAGTTAATTCTTGCATTTTTAATAGTGTTTGTTTTGTGCATATAGATGCTGTTATTTGGTGCAAATAAATATGTTTCTCATTTATGCTACACATGATCTACTTATCACGTTTAATATCTGAAATCTACTTAGCCTCAAATTATTATTGTTGCCTCTGTTTACTTTTTGTGTCATTTGATGATTAAGCTTTTCCTCATTCTTATTTTTTCCAGTTTGCTGTGTAATTTTATTCTAGGTGAGATTTTTTGTAAGGAACATCTAGTTATATTTCCTAACCCAATTTGAAGGCTTTTAAAGCTTTAACTGTATACATTTTATGCCAGAAATAACACTGGTTTTGACAGCTGTTTGTGTTTTTATATCCTAAGTACAATGCCTCATGACCAAAAGAAGACACTAATTGTAAGGCTTAGCCATCAGAATGTCTAGCAGGTATTTGGAACACATCTTTCTTTGACCCCAAGTTTAAAAGTGGGCCATTATTTGAGTGTGATAAGGGAAGTATCAAATAGAAACCTATTTTCAGCCTTTCATCTCTCTTCCGCTGGTGCATCTGTTCTACTCCTCTGGCCTTGCTTCACTTGTAAAGCAGTAGCTTACAATCATTAACCTCTGCGTAACTGCCATCAATCACCGAACTCTTCAGGCTGAATATCTCAACCAGAAAGTAGAAAGTCACAACTCAGGAAAGTTCCACTTCAACTCTGGCACGATGCTTCACAAATGATCTTGATACACCTTGCAAAAATGTGTCCTCAAACCAACTTCCATTATTGACCATGAATATTTTCCAGCACTCAATCCCAACCTTCCACATTCTCACTGCTTCCCTCCCTCCTGACTTCCCTTTCAAATTTTCTCTTCCCTCTCTCCTATCCATTTCCTTAGCCCTCTCCTCCTTAATCATTTCCACAGCTCTAATTAAACTCTGAATTTCCAGACATATTTATTTCCATTTTAACTCCCAGAAGTGCTATATTTCTAGCCATTAGACAATTCTATCTGAAATTAATTACCAAAAACCAGCTATAATCCTCTTCCTTAAACTTTCTCCCAGTATTTTCCCCAGTATTATCAGACTAAAATAGGAGTCCTCAATTTCTTGATAATTTCTATGGAATTCACACTTCCTTTCCCTTTGTTGCCTATGTTCTGCTTTAGTAAGAGCTCTGTCACTTAACACTGTATTACTGCAGTAGTCTCTTAATGAGATTCCCTTTTCCAGGCTCTTCTCCATAAGAGTCTATTCCAACAAAACTTGAAAAAATCCAGTTGCTGCGTGTCATTTCCTTACTTCAGCATCTACAGTTCTGTTAAGTGGATCAAGCAAACATACGAGGTCGACTTTCAAGAAGCCGCAGTGTATTCACAGGCCACCTGTCCGCTGTTTACATCCAGATTCTATCCACCACAGATTCCCAGTTCCTCCAGTCAGCATATCTTCATTCACTTCTCTTGTTACTACTTTTTTTTCTCACATTGTTTTCCCATTCTGAAATGTCCCATTTCCTTCATTTCCCAATCCTGTATTCCTTCAAACACATTTTTCCATGAATTTTTCCAAACCCAGGGAGGTGGAAGTGGAGTTAAAGGAGCCTTATAATCAAGAAAACAATGACGGCAGGTAGAAGCATAGTCTATGTAAAGGAATGGAGAGTGCTAATAATGGTTAATGTGTAGCATTTTCAACCACTTTAAAATATAATTATCTAAAGCAAAATCTAATTACCATTACCATGTATTGTGGTGTTTATTAACATATGTGAAAGTAAACTGTAAGAAAATAATAGCCTAAAGAATAGATGGAGGAAACAGAAATATGCTGTTGTATGAGAATTGGTTATGACTCAAGGTAGACTAAGTTAAACATGTGTACTGCAAACTCTAGAAACAACCTCCAAACAATAAAACAGACATACAAGAAGACAATAGCAGTGATAAAATGGAACCATAAAATATTCAACAAATCCAAAAGAAGGCAGACAAAGAGAAAAAAAGGAACAAAGAAAAAAAAAACAAACAGCAAGATTGTATATTTAAACCCAAGTATGTCATTAAGTACATTAAATGAAAACGGGCTACCCATTACATTAAGTCGTATTTTCTAATGAATAACAGAAAAACAAGAATTGACTATATGCTGTCTAAAAGAATATCCACTTAAATATAATTGGCATAGGTTAAAGGTATAATGATGGGAAAAGATATATTACACAAAAGCAAAAGAAAGGTGGAGTACTTATATTAATATCAGATGAAGTAGATGTCAAAACAAATATTGCTGCCATCTATACAGAAGAACATTTCCTAATGATAAGGAGGTAAAGATGAGCGCAGTGATGTATGCTTGCAATCCCAGCTACTCAAAAGCCTGAGGCAAGAGGATTGCTTGAGCCCAGGAGTTCAAATCCAGCCTGCACAAAATAGCAAGACCCCATCTCTTAAAAAAAAAAAGAAAAAGAAAAAAAGATGAGGTAAATTCACCAAGAAAACAATCCTTAATCTAAATATGTATGCAACTAACAATGAGGCTTCAAAACACATGAGGCAAAACCTAAAAGATAAAGTCCACGATCATAGTTGACGACATCAACTATCTTTTTCAGAAACCAATAGAACAAGTAGGCAGAAAATCAGTAAGAATATAGAAGACATAAACAATACTACCAGCTGTCTTGACCTAATGAACACTGGTAGAACAATTTATGCAATAAAAGCAGAATACAGTTGACCCTTGAACAACATGAGATTGAATTGCATGGGCCCACGTACACCCGGATTTTCTTCTGCATCTGCCACCTCTTGAGACAGCCAAGTCCAATCCCTCCTCTTCCTCCTCCTCCTCAGCCTACTTAACATGAAGACAACGAGGAGGAAGACCTTTACGATAATCCACTTCCACTTCATGAATAGTAAATATATTTCCTCTTCCTTATGATTTTATTAATAATATTTCCCTTCCTGTAGCTTACTATATTATAAAAATACAGTATATAATACAAATAACATACAAAATATGTGTTAATCAACTGTTCATTAAGGCTTCGTCAACAGTGGGCTACTAGTAGTTAAGTTTCTAGGAAGTCAAAAGTTACTGGGTTTTTGAGCATGGTGCCCGTAACTCCCACATTGTTCAAGGGTCAATGTATAGATTCTTTCAAGTGTATATAGAACATACAGCAACATAAGCCATTTTCTGGGCCATAAAACAAATCTTTTAAAGTGTAAAACAATTAAAATCATATAAAATATGTTCTCCAACCAAAAGAGAATTAAGCTAGGAATCAGTAACAGAAAGATATCTGAAAAATCCATATATTTGGAAATTAATCAACACACTTACAAATAACCCTTAAGAAGGAATCACAAGGGGAATTAAAACTCTTTTGAAATGAAAACACAGCACATCAAAATGTGCAAAGCATGACTAACAGTCCTTAGAGAGAAACTTAACTTAGATGATAAATTCCTTGAAAGACACAAAGAGCAAAATTCATCTGAGTAACAACAGATAACCACAACAGCCCTGTAACTATTAAATAAATTGAATTCACAGTGAAAAACTTACCAACAAAGACAAAACTCCAGGTCTAGGGAGAGCTTCACTAGTAAATCCCACCAAATATTTCATTAATAAATAATACAAATCCCATACAAACAATTCAATAAAATTAAAGAGAAAGGAGGAGTACTTCCCCTTTTGTTTTTAAAAAGCAAACATGATCCTGAAGTGAAAATTATACAAAGACATTTTAGGAAAAGAAGATGACATAGTAATATCACTCAGGATTTCAGGATGCAAATATCCTTAGAAATACAATGTACCAACGCTAGCAATATATAATAACACATCATGAACAAGTGGTTTTTTTCAACAGGAATGCAAGGTTCACTCAACTTTGGAAAATCAATGTTAATTCACCATTTTAACAGAACATAAAAGAGAAAAGCCATATGATCATTGCAGTAAGTGCAGAAAAAGCTTTAATAAAATTCAATACCCATTCATGATTTTAAAAACTCTCAGTAACCTAGGACTAGAACTTCCTCAATCTGATAAAGGAGGCATAAAACATCTATATTATAACATCATGTTTTTATAACATATTCAAATAATTCTGGACTTAGAGAAGACTTACAAAAATATAGTACACATAGTTACCATATGCCCTTTACCCACCTTCCTCTGTATCTTGTATAGCCATAGTATGAATATCAAAACAAAGAAATTAACATCAGTGCAATACTATTAACTAAACTACCAACTTTATTTCAATTTCACCAGTTTTTCCACCAATGCCCCTGCCTAGTCCAGGACCCAACCCAGGATCCCACATCGCAGTTAAGTCATCATGCCACTTTAGTCTCTCCAATCTATGAGTGTTCCATCATCATTCTTTGCCTATCATGAGGCTAACACTTTTAAAGTTATCAGGCCAGGTATTTCGAGGAATGTCCCTCCCTGTGAGTTCTTCAGGTTTCCTCATGATTATACTGAGGTTATGCATCTTGGAGGAGAGCACTTCAAAAGTACTGTGCCCTTCTCAGAGCATCTTATCATGGGTTCCATGAAGTCAACATCTTACTTACTGGTGATGTTAACCGTGATCACTTGGTTAAAACTGTGTTTTCCAGATCTCTCCACTGTAAAGTTAGTCATTTTACCTTTGTAAATGATAAATGTTCACAGGGAGATATCTTGAGAGTATGGAAATATCCTCTTTCCTAAACTTTTGCTTACTAATTTTAATATTCATAGGTGAATTCTGAATGAGCAATTTTCACTCTGGAGTTCTAATGGTGATTTGATTTTCTACTCTACTCACCTCTTTTACATTAATTGGAATTCATCTGTAAGGAAGACATGTCCCTCTCAACACTTTATTTAGACAATCAATCACTTATTTATGCAATATAGACTCATGATTACATATTTCATCCTTTGGATCATAAACTAACACTATATTTACTTTATTACTGAAATTGTTTCAGCTTCTGCTACAGGACCCTTCAGCTTGGGCTGTTTTCTAGGTCTTGCCTTTTTTTTTTAAGGCTCCCTCCTTACTTTCTGACACCACAAAATTCTCCACGCTCATCTTTTTTTCTCCCCCTATACTAGTGCTGAAATCAGTCGCGTCCTCAAGGAGCCTTGGTTCCTTTTATTGGAGAATAATAGTTAGAAACCCAGATCTGGCTGCTAGATGTGCTCATTAACATCATATTTAATGGTAAAAGGTGCTTTTCTCCCTAAGACTAGAAACAAAGTCAGGATGCTCACTCTTACCACTATTCAACATTATAATGAAGGTCTTAGCCAATACAGCAAGGCAAAAGAAGAAAGGAAATGCATACAGATTAGAAATGAAGTAAAACTTTATTTACAGAAGATATGATTGTCTGTGCAGAGAATTGTAAGTAATCTACAAAAAAGGTTACTACAACTAATTCTTGCAAGCCTGCAGGAGAAAAGGTCAATATGAAAAAACCAACTGTATTTCTATATACTGGCAGTAAAACAAAGTGAAAATGAAATTTTAAATATCATTTCCCTTGGAAGACATGAAACACACGTAAGGATAAACCTAACAAAATTTGTGTAAGACTTAAACATTGAAAATTACAAAACATTACTGTGAGAAATTAAAGACCACCTAAATAAATGGAGAAATAAATTGCATTCATGGATCTGAAGACTCATTGTTAAGATGTCAGCTCTTCCTAAATTTATCTACAGATTCAACACAATCTCACACAAAATCTTAGCAGACTGACAGAGTGTAAAATTTACGTAGAAATCTATATAGACATTAATCTAGATAAATTCATGCTATAAAACACCCTGCTAGAGAATCTTAAAAGCTTGAAGGTAGTTAAAGGATCATATCTTTTGCATGAGTAAATGACCTGTCCATTTCCACAAAGAAAGCAAGAAGCAAATCCAGGACCAGGATCCAACTTTGTTCTTTCATGTTTTGATACTGTGCTCTTTAGAGTGGTACATCATGCTACTTGTAATTAAGATTACTTTCACTTTTTACTTTGCCTAGAAAGAGATTCAGATCTCCTCAACAGATGCCAGAATCTCTAGATGTGCCATCACCTCTCGATGTGCAGCAATAAGTAGAAAAATAACCAATAATTATGTGATAATAAATTAAGAATAAATTTATCAAAACAATAAAAATGTAACAATAATCCCTGATCTTAGGAATGAATTGACTTTTACAATAAATTACACATTTTAAAGATATAAGGACTCCATTAAAATGTTTTATTTTATAAATTATTTAGTAATTTACACTAAAACACTGAAATTTTAACTGAATTCATTAAAACAGCTACTAACCCCCAGGCTGGTTCTCAAAATTAATTTCATGTTCATCTGTGATATGATACAAACCCAAATAGACTCAATCACATTTTCCTTTTAGAAAGAAACTCAAATTTAAAAGTGCTGCTATAATAAAGTTGCTCCTTCAAGTATATATGGGGCGGCAGAGAACACCAGAGCCTCGCGGGTCACACAGGACACCGTGAGTAAGCCTGTAGATGGCACCAATCCACGACCAATCTATTGTTTACAGAAACAGTCATTTTGGGTTGTGCTTCTTTATGCAAGATATTTAACACCTTTGCTCAAATTAAGTGGCACCCATTAAAAAAAAATAATTATAACAACTTGAACGAATTTATCTACATGTCATCAGAAGGTGTTTAGGCAGCTCCTCCTCCCTGCCAGAGCTGCTGGCTCCCCTAATTCCATTCCCACATGGTAGCTCCTGGCTGTCTTACTATCACCTTTACACTGGGCATGTCTAACCCAGTGGAGCTGAGATAGGACAGGCCTTGCTTCCTTACTGGTATACTGGTTGGGCTCTCAGAGCTTTCTCCAGGTGGGGCCAAACTCTTATTCAACATGAATAGCTGAACACTGAGATAAGGAAACGTTGTAGCAAATCTTATTTCCTCACAGGACTAAGAAGGTCCATATTTTGGCCCTTCCTTGAATTTACAGGGCCACATTGGTACCTCAACCATTGTCTCTTAAAGAAATGGTTCTTTTCCTCTTCTTTTTTTTTGGAGTAAGTCCTCCTAGAAGAGGGTGTCTAGAAAGGATGATATTTAGTTGTAGCTTATTATTAGCTATTTATTAAAAATAAAACCATGCATGATTTCTGGGAGAGACAGCAAGCCCTTCTTCCTTCCAGGTTCTTTTGTAGTGTACTGACACGATGAAAACAGTACACAGCTCATTAGAGGCATTCCTATATATGCATGCAACTCATAAGGAACATCCTCAGTGATACTAAGTGGATATAAAATTGTCTGTAAGAAGTGAATAAACATTTAGGAATGCTCAAGTGCTTCTCATAAAGGTTGTGAAGGATTCAGTACTTAACATGGTACTTTATACATAGTAGAAACTCAAGATATGTGAGTTGAATCGAGTAGAGGTGTCTAATATGATGCACCTATTTTAAATTCCTAGTTACAAGAAACAGAAAATCACCATACTCCCAGTAACCAATAACATAATACAGACATGAAGTGCTTGTGTTACTTCCTCCTAACTCATCTAATTCATATGACATAATTCTATGTTTACCTTAAGGCTTAACAGAGAAGAACACTTGGCACATAACAGACCCCAAATAAATGTTGTTGACTAATAAATGTTTCAGAGAAAAATATGAAATGTTGGAATAAACTGAAATGGATGAACTAAAAATAATTACAGAAAAATTCGGAGTAGATTATTGAATGAAAAACATTTCATAGTAAACATTTTATACAAGCATCTGAAAATCAAAGTATCAAAATCCCTGTCTGTACTAACAATATCTGAGGTAGTGGGGGAAAAAAAAAAAAAAAAAAAGCAGGGGGAGGGGGGGACAGACATAATAATTTCCTGCTCCTGAACTTAAGCAAAAATTGCAGTACTAAGAACAAGAAGGGTGGGTGCAGTGGTTCACGTCTGTAATCCAGCACTTTGGGAGGCCAAGGAGAGAGGATTGTTTGAGCCCAGGAATTCAGTACCATACTGGGAAACATGGCAAAACCTACAAAAAGTACCAAAAACGTAGGCAGGTATGGTGGCTCATGCCTGCAGTCCGAGCTACTTGGTAGGCTGAGGTGAGAGGATACTTGAGCCTGGGGAGGTAGAGGCTGCTGAGCTGTGATCGTGCCGTGCCACTGCACTCCAGCCTGGCCAACAGAGACCTTGCCTCAAAAAATAAATAAATAAATGAATAAAAAGTAATAAGCAGATCACAATAAAACTAAACATATGTAATTAGTAGTGGTTTTTTGTTTTTTGTTTTTTTTTTTTTTAAGAGATTGGGTCTCACTCTGTCATCCAGGCTGGAGTACAGTGGTGTAATCACAGCTCACTGCAGCCTCAACCTCCTGTGCTCAAGCAATTCTCCTGCCTGCCTTAGCAGCCTTCTTAGGAGTGCGCCACCACGCCCAGTTGATTTTTTTTTTTTCTTGTAGAGATGGGGTCTCACTGTGTTGCCCATGCTGGTCTCAAAACTCCTGGCCTCAAGTGATCCTCCCACCTCAGCCTCCCAAAGTGCTGGGATTACAGGCATGAGCCACCATGCCTGGCCTAGTAGTATTAATTTTGTGGGCAATAAAGTTCTGTTTCAAATGACAGAGAAGTCCAAAGTAAGACACTGTGTTTACTACCTTCATTAAATATTAAAAACAAATTTCTTTAAATTTCTTTTAAAACAAGGATTTGTATAAATGAATCTGAAGTGTTCACTTTAAAATTAAAGACATAAGGGCAAATTAAAAAATTTTAACTAGTTTTCTTAAAGAAAAATTAACACTTGGTATCTTTATTAAAATTAAAGAAATAATGAGAGGCAAACAAATTATTATGGGAAAAAAATAGAAAAATTCTGTGATCATGTTGAGCAAAATCTCAAGAGGCATTTGGGGAGTCAAAATCATGAGTAAAATTTTGTGCACAGAAGTTCAATAATCACTTAAATGTCGGTAAAATGGAAAGTATCATTACATCATTAACTTTTATTCACTTAAAATATTTTTGCTATAAATTCATTTTAGCAGTGCAGCCAAAATATATACACACTATGCCATAAAGAAATCTTACCTTTTTATCATATACATCTTGCCAGTTTACTCCAGAGAAGAAACTGTGTCTCATAATTTCTTTTGCATCATCTGGTCCTCCACCAAGGCTATGAGAACAGAAATAAAATTAAGTAAGTATAAAACATTTACATAAGCTCAAAGCATAACAAAAAATATTTTGTGAAAGTGTAATTTTCTGTGTAATAAACAGTTCTTGGGATAAATAGCTCTAAAAGTAAAAAGCTTTTGCTATAAGATCTATTTTTCCTAATATGCTTGTAAGAACTAGCTTCAGAACAGTATGGTATTTGGAAAAGAGCAGAGGCTTTAGAGATAGATCTGGAAGAGGCAATCATGTCTGGCACTTATGAGATGTGTGACAACAGAAAAGAGGCTTAACCTCAGTTTTCTCATCTGCAGAGTGGGGAATGATAACGTTTGCTGGTGGGTCACTGCAAGGGTTAGAAACAACATAGGAATATGGTTTGGCTGTGTCTCCACCCAAATCTCATCTTGAACTGTAGCTCCCATAATCCCCATGTGTCATGGGAGGTACCAGGTGGGAGGTAACTGAATCATGGGGGCAGGTTTTTCCCATGCTGTTCTCATGATAGTCAATAAGTCTCATGAGATCTGATGGTTTTATAAAGGGCGATTCCCCTGCACATGCCCTTGCCTGCTGCCCTGTAAGATGTGCCTCTGCTCCTCCTTCACCTTCTGCCATGATTGTGAGGCCTCCCCAGCCATGTGGAACTGTAAGTCCAATAAACCCCTTTTTCTTTATAAATTATGCGGTCTCAGGTATTTCTTCATAGCAGAATGAAAATGGACTAATAATAGGTAAAGAAATTTCAGTGTTTTCTGGCTTATTCAGTTTAATATAGTATATATTACTAAGCATAAAAGAACTAAAAGTGAGAAATAGGAAGAACAGGAGGAAAAGAGGGGAAAAGAACAAGGAAAGGAAGATAAAATAAACCTATTTAAATCTGAATTTTATATAGTAGGCTTTATTTGGACTTGTTCATTATTAGAAATGATATGTGCTGGTAAGTGCTTAACAACCAGCTCTCTGTGAGCAATCATGCATTTATACAAATATAATTTTTTTTCTTTTTTTTTTCAAAGGCACAGTAGATACCAGATGCTCAGAGCAGAGCAGCCATGGAGCTGCTGGGACCAAACCTTGCCTGACCTAGCCACCACCACACCCCAGACATATAAATTTAAATTTTACTGATATAAAGAATGCAAAACACAAAATTTACAAAGATCATAAAACATACAATGTTGTGTATTGTAAATTAGTCACCTGATTCTCACAGAAAACTTGTTAATTTCTGCTGTACGCCAAAGCCACTAATGGATGAAACTTACGATTAGTTCCAACATGAATATTGGTTGACATTTTTGTTTATGTTAAAGTCAAAGCTGAAAGTGATACAATGGAGACTTCAGAACTTCACTTGTCAGTTATGTGAGTGATTTCTTTGCTAAATGTTTAGTAACTTTGGGATGGTGGAAGAAGATTCATTTTTTGGTGCTATTTACAATGTAATGAATCTGCATTATTAATATTTTCTCTTAAGTCTAAACAGTCAACAAAACAGTAAGTGCAGCCCCAACTCATAGTATTTGCCAATTCTGGCGGTATAAATTCTTCCACTGTGGCCAGTTTCGAGCTACCAATAAGATGTCACTGAACATGTAGGCAGGAAGAGATGCATAGTAGCAAACCATTATATATTATGTCCAAACAGATACAGCAGACATAACTAATCTCAAAAATACAGATAACAGTGAAACATAACAAATTAAGGAGTAATGACTTTTTAGTATTTATGACCTTTGATTTTCCTATTATTAGTAAATTTATATAATTTTTAGTAATGACTATAATATACAACCAGCTCATAAAATTGGTGAAAATTTAACAGTTGGTTCTTGAGAGCTGGTATATGCTAACTCCAAAACACCACTGGGTTGGAAGAAAACCAAATACGTCATAGAAAACAAATACAGATGCTCCTAAACTTAATGATGGGTTATGTCTAGATAAGCCCACATTTCAACTTAAGATGGTTTTATCTGGATGCAATTCCATCATTAGTTGAGGAGCATACTAAATACGCATCAGTTTCGCACCATCATAAAGTCAAAAAATTGTCAAGCCATCGTAGGTCAGAAATCATTTATAATTATATAATTCTAATGAATTCTGGTTATTAGATCTAAGAAACACATGACTGGGAAGGACCTAGTATCCTTTGACACACAATTAAAATGGAAAACAGTCAACTGATACCTGAATATCTTTAGTGATGATAAATAATTCCCACCAGCTGGGTCTCCAACTCCCAGATCCTTATAGAATTCTCTAAATGAACTATACCCCAGAGATGGCACTTTTAGGTTTGATCATAATAGTGCTGTTCGATGTTTGCATTTGGAATTTTCAGACTGGTAGTTCTGTGTTCAGTGAGAGCTCAGCATTTCAGACCCTGCCCTCTTTTTCATTCTATTTCAGTTGTGTAGGTTTCTTTCCCAGGAGACTGCAAACTCCTTTGAAGGCAAGATCAGTGCTGGATTATCCAAAAGGCATTCTAAGCTTGTGCTTGGGGAACCAGAGAAGCAAAAGCACCAAAACACGTTTCTGAAAAGCATTTAATATTTTCAAGCATGCGTCAACATAGTCTGCATGAGAAACATCAAAGCTCCATGGCATTTTCTTACACTTATGTTGTAGTTTATTTCAATACTGTTTTCATTTGAATTGTACTTGAGATGGGAGTTGGAGTGGAGAATCATAATCATTTTGTAAATAAAATGTTTTAATCCAGCTTTAGTTATCCATTTTTGTAACTCCTCAAGTTTTCTAGCAATACTTTGGTTTTGAACATAGCCAGCATTTATTCTATATTTATCAAATACATATAAAACTAAAATATCAGCTATGAATACTATGCAAAGTCTGAGAATACAATCAGACTTCCATTTTAGAAGCTAGGAGAAATTCTTTAACACACTTCTTCAATGTGTGAAACTGTCAAAAATTTCAGTGTCAATGACTCTCTAATATACAATTTAAGACTTCAAAAATAATAACAAAATATGCTTTGAAGTAAGATATTTATGTCTAGAATACTAAACTCCAGTATCAGAATGCCAGACTAAATCCTCAGCTACTACAAATTCCTTTACTATTAGGAACATCACAGAATTCACATTTTCCTAATGTTACTGAATACATGAGGTCATGCTTTTCCTATCAACTCCGCATAGGAAGATAAAGGAGGGGCTAACAGAATGAACAGAAAGGATGGAGACTAAGAAATAAAAGCAAAATGATAGTTGACCCTTGGATAGAACTAACAGCAATTCAATAAGAAATACCAGAAAAATTCCAGTAGTATTTAAAATAGCTGCGTAGAAAAAATGAAGAGGTGTATTATAATGCTATCATTACTTATGTTTCCAAAGGCTTTTCAAGGTCCTTGTTAGCTTTCTTTTCTTTCTCCCCCTGAAACTGAGGTTCCCTAAGATTCTGTCCTAGGCCCTCTTCTCCTTATCCACTACCCTTGCCACTACTGCCTTGGCTCTAGCTACCTCCTAGATATAGTTATGGTTCCCAATCCATGTAGTCAGTTACTGTGTTTCTTTTAAGCATTCATTCTATTATTTCCAGCTGCTCACTTGACATTTCCATCTTGGTTTTATATAGAAACTTCAGACTCAGTGTACCCAAAGTTATTATCAACATCTAGCCCCATCAAGCCTCCTTGGTTTGCATACCCTGTCTGTTAATCACCCTAGCTGGAAACCTCAGAGGGATTCCTAACTCCTCCTACTTCCTCATAGTTTCTAGTTAATCATAACCTCTATCACTTGTGTACTACTGCTTCAGGAAGGAATCCATCTATTATCTGAACAATTCCATAAATATTCTTTTTAAAAAAAAGACAGGGACTCACTCTATTGCCCAGGCTGGAGTGCAATGGTGTCACCTTGGGTCACTGCAGTCTCGACCTCCTGGGCTCCAGCGATTCTCCCACCTCAGCCTCCCAAGTAGCTGGGACTACAGCATGTGCCACCATACCCAGCATTTTATTTTTTTTTAGTAGAGATGAATCTTGCTATGTGCCCAGGTTGGTCTTGAACTCCCGACCTCAAGTGACCTTCTTGCCTCGGCCTCCCAAAGTGCGGGGATTACAGGTGTGAGCCACTGTGCCTGGCCCCATAAACACTTTTAACTGCTCTGCCTGCCCCTGGATCCTCACTCATCTAATCTGTCCATGACAAAGCTGCCAGAGTTACCTTTTCATGACACAAATCTGATTATACTATCCCTTGCTTTAAACACTTAAGCAGTATCTCACCCTCTTCTGAATGAAGATTAAATATTTTCTAAGAAACCTAAGATCCTTATAATCTAATATATCAGCTTCATTTCCCAGTGTTACCCAACTCATATTCTACACTCTAGTCACTGAACTTCTCAAATGCCATGTTCTTTTGCAATCCTAGCTATACTCTACATGTAAATTTCTGTGCTTGAGTGCCAATGCAAATTCAAACTCCTTTCTGATCCAGCTCAAGTCCCCCAATCCCCTAGACAAAGCCAATAATTTCAACAGTACTTTGTATGTAGTTTGACCTGAGCATCTGTGAGTATATGTTTTGTGCCCCAAATTATTCTATGAACATCTAGAGCAGAGACTGGTTCATCTCACTCATCCTTGTATTCTCTGTATTTTGATGCAGCAGTGGAGGGGCTTGACACATCTATTATAAAAGAAATTATTAGATCATTGAAAATACTGCATCTTCTCATTAGATCAATATCAACCTCCTGGTGAACAAACAGTTAGGAATTGTTCTATTAATACATACTAGGCGGTTAACATTCTAAGAATTTGCCTCACATTCATTCAATAGTTCCTAAGTACCGACTATGTGCTATTCATGGAGTGGGCTGACAAATAAAAAAAAATGAATGAGACATACACATGAAAACCACAAGTACATTTTGTTCTACTAGCCACTTATATAAAGAGGGCCACAAAGTAAAGGGTGGTCAAAGTTGCCTGCAGGAATAAGAAAACGATGAGATAAATATTCACTGCCTCGAATACCAAGCCAAATATTAGACCAAAAAATGAAATAGATAAAAGTCGGCTGGACACGGTGGCTCATGCCTGTAATCCCAGCACTTTGGAAAGCCGAGGGGGGTGGATCACGAGGTCAGGAGATGGAGACCATCCTGGCCAACATGGTGAAACCCCATCTCTACTAAAATACCAAAAAAAAAAAAAAAAAAAAAAAGCCAGGTGTGGTGGCAGGCGCCTGTAGTCCCAGCTACTCAGGAGGCTGAGGCAGGGGAATTGCTTGAACCCAGGAGGCGGAGGTTGCAGTGGGCCGAGATTGCGCCACTGCACTCCAGCCCAGACAACAGAGCGAGACTCCCTCTCAAAAAAAAAAAAAAAAAAAAAAAAAAAAGATAAAAGTCACCACTCTGTTTAAAGTTACCTATCATCGGGTGCTGCTCCTTACTTAATTGTAAAAGAACGCTATCAAACGGAACACATTTCAAAACTTAAACTGAGAAACTGCTGCATTGTAAATAAGATACATAAGAAATACCAAATAGGCACCAAGAAACTTGACTTCTACTCTTGGTCTGCATGAATGTTCTGAGAGACCTTGAAGAAATCACCTAACCCTCTCTGGGCCTTTGTTTTCAACTCAATGAAATGGAAATAAGAATAGTATCTCCCCTATCCACCCAACAAGGCTCCTGAAAAAGCAAGGGAATTAATAGCTGTGAAAGTGCTCTGAAGAAGAAAACAAAATCACTTTACACATATAAATAATATCTGCAGCTAGGATTACAAAATGTTTCTTGAATGAGTCTTCACAAAGCAGAAAGACAATATCTCTTTTATTATGTTTGCTTATTTCTGCTGAAGATAAAGCCATGTTCCTTACAAGGTTAAAAGCTAGAAGAATACAATGAAAACCATTTCTCAGATAGACTTAAAAATCCAACTTTTTGGGATTCACTCATTAACCCACTCATATATATATAATATATATATATATGAGCATCAACCATACGTAAAACATTTTCATAAAACTCTATGTGAGGTATTATAAAATATTCAACAATATGTGAAATCATCTATGCTTCAAATGAGTAGACTCAGAGAAATACTGATATGCACAGATACCTAGATGGGAAGGCAGATATATCCATATACAAACACACATATTAAGAAACATTTTAATATTAATAGTCATTTCACATATGATTTATGAATTTATAAATATGAATGAATGTATAAACATGAATAAAAATACTGTAGCTCATTGAACAAAGCAGCAAGAGCCATAGAGTTCTTCAATTCATAGCTGTAGCTACAAAAACAGAAATTAAAAGTGTGTACAATTATTTTTTGCCATCAACTCTTTCAGCTATGCATAGAAAAGATTATTTTCAAATGACAAAAAAGCAGTTAGAGGCCGGGTGCGGTGGCTCACGACTGTAATCCCAGCACTTTGGGAGGCCGAAGCAGGCGGATCACTTGAGGTCGGGAGTTCAAGACTAGCCTGGCCAACTTGGCAAAACCCCGTCTCTACTAAAAACACAAAAATTAGACAGGCGTGGTGGAGGTGCCTGTAGTCCCAGCCACTCGGGAGGCTGAGGCAGGAAAATCACCTGAACCTGGGAAGCAGAGGTTGCAGTGAGTCAAGATCGCGCCACTGCACTCCAGCCTGGGTGGCAGAGTGAGACTCTGTCTCAAAAAAAAAAAAAAAAAAAAAAAAAAATGCAATTAGATATGTTAACACAGGTTGCGGGTGGGAGGAGAGTATTGAAAAATAGGTCTATTCCTTTTATAAGAAATACAAAGGCCCAGAGACTGAAAGAAAGAAAAGTGATTCTTCTATCCCCACAAGATCAAGTAACAGAGCAATTAAGAAATTTTCACTCATAATATGGATAATGAAACTCTCAAAATCCTTATTTGGTAAATCTGCATAAAATTTCCAAGTTAGGAAAGAGTTGAGAAAAATTTTTAAATGTTCTATATTATGCAGTTAAAAATAAGTCAGGATCTCAGTGGGAAGATGTCTACACCAAATACATTGCTTCTTGGAGTTAGTTATATTTGAATTAATTTCCATATCTCAATTTTTAACCACATTCATCAGTAATTCACTAAGCGTTATTTGAGGCTTACCGTTTATTTGGATCCTTTATCAAGAGCCCTGAAAGCAATGATTTTGCATCTGAAGAGAGTGTTCGAGGAAATTTAATGTCTTCCATTAATATTAATTCAAAAAGTTTCTCATGGTCCTGGTTGTAGAAAGGTAACCTCCCACACATCATTTCATACATGACAACCCCTAGGCCCCACCAGTCTACTGCTCGGCCATAGTCATTATCTTCTAACACCTAAAAGTGAAATCAGTAAAAAGATTAATTATTACATGTTAACTTTTAAAGCATTATTCATAAAACATAAGATTTTTACATAAAAATGAATCTTAACTTTCAAAGCCTAGGTAGTCTGAGATCTTGACATTTAAACTGTGAAGCATCCTACAAAAAATACAAATCACATCAAATATGTGAAATATTCAATATATATCCACAAATGGCCAGTGTACAAAAAAAGGGGCAGGTCGTACAAAAAAAAAAAAATCCCAAGTACATGAATATACATAAGGATCAAATGAAAAACGTTAGCTAGCATATTTACATATTTTTTCTTAGGCCTACTGACTTTTTCATTCTGGTTCCACCCATGTGGACTTCAAGTAACAACTCAGAGCTAGGGTGTGCTGATTATAGAGCACATAAAGTGCACTGTACATTCTTGCCTTAAGAAGAACTAAGTAATACAAATTAAACAGTGAAAGACAGTAGTAAACAAAGGCAATGTAATGGAGAAGTCTACAGGGCAAGACAACCATTAAAATAACTTTGAAAAACCTTTGGATGCCCCTGTATGTTTCAACTCTTTCTGGAACTATTTAAGAGACAAAGTGAATATAAAAGCTTATGGTACGAGCTGTAATAAACTTTGATAGCCACAGCTTTATACCTCACAACAAAAATTCCTGTTACAGCAAAAAAAATGGACTTAATATCTGTGTGGTATATGTCCTTAAATTTTTCCCAAAATATATTACACGTAAAATAAATTTAGTTAGAAATGATACAAAAGTATCCGTTTGCCTATGCTGGAGCAACCTGTTCAAATGGTAACATGGTAACCTACCATTTGCCCCAGGAAAAATTTGGTTTTATCTTTTTATCAGATTTGTTCTTCATCCAATGGAATATTCCTCATCTATATGCAACTTTGAATATTTTATTTTAAAACTATATTTGATAATCTTAAAGCTTATTTTATTTGATCCTCTCAGCTTTGGAAAACCAGATGGGGAAAACCAAATATATGAATTTATCAATTTAAAAACACTTACAACCGATTACAAAGGAGAACATTTGATAAGGACAAAGCAGTACTTGTGTTCCAAACTTTCTTGCTTCGAATTAAATATTTTCTGGAAGATTACTCCTACATGACTTTTATTTAAAATTTACCAATAATCTCACAGAATTACAGGTGATATTTTTGACAGTTACATTATGATTACCTAAAAATACTATGAAAGGCACTTTGGTAGGGTATTTAAAGACAAAGGATATAATTTATAAGAAAAAATATGTTACTTAAAAGATCTATTCAATAAGCATTTCTATTATGAAAAGATTTTTAATTCAATTATATCAATGTTTGTTTTACGGCTAAAAAACTGAAAACTTCACTGGTAAGATATGAACACATGTTTAGATCCTATGCTTTTCTAGAAATGTTTTGTAAATCACAAACTAACAAAAAAACATTTTCTGGAAGAACAACAAATTCTAGTTTTCATCATCAGCGCAAAGAATGTCATATTTTTACTTGTTTGAAATGAGTAATTTGAGAACAAATAGAAAACAAAAAATAACCTAAAAAAGCAGAAGAAATTCTACTTCATATTTACGTTAAAGGAAATGCTGCATGTATTATTTTAAAATACCACTGACTTTTGATGATTCAAGGATCTCGCTCATGGCCAATTAGTACAATGCACTGTTGGTGGGCCTTTATCTAATTGACACAAGATTTTAACTAATAACAACCAAAAATTTATATCTAAGTAACCTTTAACTACATTCCTACAACACCAACACAACAGTGGCATATACGAAAAGGAGCCAAATGTGGTTTTTAACCTCTTTTTTTTTTCATAAAACCATAAAAAGCATAAAAGCTGGATTAACTGCCTCCCGAACCCACATTTCACCAGCCGGGTTCTCATCCCCAGCTGGCAAAACTGGCAATCCTTTATTTTTTTTAAATACCTGGTTTGCAGCCAGAAGGGAAAGTGAGTACATAAAAAAGGGGGGTTTTATTTTTGAAGAGAAGTAAGCAACTGAAAAATAAAACTGCATTGTAAAAAAATCTGTTTGATAAAATAAAATACATTTTATTTAGCTTTGTAAAATGAATATCGATTCTTAAAATAAGTGATTTTGCCTCTGAACATACGTGCCTTAATTGATCTACAGATACATAATGCTATAATTAGAACTGTTTGCCGTATTACTTTGTATTGAACAAAACTGATGTAACGTATTGTCTTCCTGACATGTAAACTTAAGCAATGCTGAGAAGAAAACACCCTAACAACTAAAATCCCTCTTTACCTAAGAGACTTCACTATCAATTAGAAAGATTTTTGTCCAAATCCTATCTCCAAACAGCTATAAGATGAAACATACATAAATAATGATTACAGTATCCTACATGTGGATACATATGTTCCCACTATTAAAACAATATCCTTTCTCTTTCCTGAATCTAAATTATTTCAAAACACAATACTTTCAAATACTCTGGAAATCCCACAGCCAAATTAACCAATTCGAATCCAATAACCTCTTTCACATTATTTTAAGAAGACAATTTTTCTCCCTCTACTCAAAGCACTTATTATTCTATAAATACATAACATATAAAATTTACATTTTTTTAACTTAAGGATTGCAAATTCTTTCTGGCTACCTCTGATCATTTTTTTCTAGCTAAAAGGCTAATTTATTTCATGGTTATTGTGAGGGCTGGCTGAAAGGTATGATAAACAGTGGTATAATGGACAGGTACAACAATGGTAGAGCATATTTCAACTTCATTAAAAGGTTAATTTCTCATATAATTTGGATATAAATGCAGATCAAAATATGCTCCTGAAAAAATCCAGTGAAAGATTTATCTTGAAGAAATAACTTCTGTCTCCTTTCCATAAAACCAACATTACTGACTTGTAAATGAAACCCAAACTTTAAATAGGAAAGCAGACATTTGGTATTTCCTCTACCCCTACAGTCCTTTGTAACCACAGATGTAGTTGTACATTATACCTACCTTTAACACAAATGCCCAAACAGAGATGAAAGAGGAGATTTGGAACATCAAAAAAATGTAATTGTTAAAAAATGATGAGAGGTCACATCAAATGAAAACTTAAACAGAGCACAAAGTCTAGAAAACAAGGCTGTATTTCTAATAGGAGCCAGAAACTGCTTTACTTTATGATACGATAAAACCTAAGACTCAAGGAGGTTACAGCAGATACAAATTAACATTAAATATCCTGGAAATATTTGATCAATATTTGATGAAGACACTTACATTTATAAAACAGCCAGGTGAGTTAAAACACATTAGTTTTTGAATTGTTATTAATTTCAAAGAATGATATTGAATGAGAAACTATATATTTTTAAATGATACTACCAATTCAAGTTACTAATGTAAATATTTATTTGGCTAATGGGCTTTTTCAAAACAAAAAAAAAACTATTCATTACAATATTTGTTTACCAGGAGGATTTACTAGGAGGTTAAAGGGACCCCTCTCTCAGCTTGCCCACCAGGCCACACAATGCACCCAAGGCAAGCAATTATAAGGAGGCTATGTATGCCCTGGAGTGGCTTACTGCTCAATCAATAATCCTGACAGAACAGATGGGGGAAAAAATTAAACATCTAAACAAACTGTCTGCACACCTATGCTGTGAAAGTAAACTGCGAACTTGGATGAACCAATTTACCACTAATTCAAAAAAAAAGTTTTTTCTGGTAGCCTTACATTTCAGGTAACTGATAGATGTGTGTTTTATACCTAAACATACATCTGTATCATTTATCATTTATGGGAGCCCTTCAGATATTCTTAACATCACAGGTATGGGCTAAGAAAAAAAGACCTATAAATCTTCTCATTCAGATTTTAAAGTAAACTGCAGCTTCAGGAAAAGTATCCATTTCAATACATAAGATTATAAATTCTACAGTTGCTTGGTATTTTCTTCATAAATATATATTTTATAACTATTTCTCAACTGCTTTAATAGTTCTTAAGTGACAGCAACTGTCAATGCCATTTGCTATGAATTAGAATGCTGTACGCTTTATGGCCACCTCTCCTAGCACACACAAATACTTGTATACAGTTAACATCGTACTTTCAAAAGCAAACTCTGGCTAGCACAGGAAAAATCCTTTGACAAGAGAAAGGCTAAATGGATACAATAATGATGATTAGATCATACTTACACATATCTTCCAAGAAATTTCTATACTTCTTTTTTATTCTGAAGCAATAGACATTATGGGATTCCAAGAAACTGAGCCTTCATAACCCAAGTAACAATAGCCATTGTAAAATACTATAGGTAATCACCAGTGTTTCCAGTTAGGGTTAGTTTTGTATATGTTCTCATGGTACAGAGAATTTAAAATTAAACTTCATGCTTAAACTAGAATCACACCGAAGTACTGAATGCAAATATTCTGTTAAAGCCAAAAGACCATATAACATTGAAAAGAAGTTAGGGCGAAAAATAGCTACTTTAAGAACTGACAGACCTCTAAGTAAGTAAAAGATGCCACTTATAAACATTGAGAGGCGTTAATTCCATTTTAGTTCATATTTAAACAATGTCCAATTATGAGATAAAATGGAATGGCTTTTAATATTACCCAGAAAATCATATAAAATAGCAACATACTATAGAAAGAAATTAAATATATTCAACTAAATAGTAAGCCAACTCATATGAGAGTTAGAAGTTCTTAAACATGAATTCTAACTATAGAGCAGACAGCTTCTATCTGAACTCATCCCTCTACTCCTTTAATGTTCCCTTTAATCATGGTGATGAGACCTTTTCTGAATTCCCAGGAAGATGAAGGTTTTCAAAATTACCCCAGGTGGAGAGATATCATATGAATTATCAATAAGTAAATAAAATGTTAGGGTTGTCCACAATTTTAGAAAGGCTACTAAAACAACTCTTTCTTTTCACAAAAAGCATAGAGATTCTAAGACTAGTTTTACAATCTGCTGGAATATAGTAGGACTTTGTGCAAAGACTAATCAGAATGTAACTACATGTGCTACTATTTTTACCTACAGATTAAATGTGCAAACATATGTAACTTTAGCCTCATTCATTTCTCTTCAGATCTCCTAAAAACAACATTGGCAGCACCCACAAAATGACATATTTTACATTTATTCTTTGTTGGATTTAAAATAAAGAAAATTCTGTTTAATACATTTCAAGCAAGTTAGCTTCTAACTATTTCCCACACCTACAACACTAGTCCATGCCCTGGCACTGCCTTTACTACCTTTTGTGGAAGTTAATATATATCTTTGGTTTTTAATTTATATAGAAATTAATCTCCATGTGTACTATGAGCTAACACAATGACTTTGAGCAAATCTTTGTATCAAAATAGTTGTCAAAATATTCTCATCTATTTCAGCTATTTTAAAAATGTTACATTATATGCAAGATATTAAAGATAGTAGGTTTCAAAGAAAAAATCAGGAAAATTTTGGCAAGCAAAACATTTTCTAAGAATGGGGTTCTAAAAAACTAAAAAGAATGCATCAAATACTGCACTTCAGCCACTGGAAAAACAAATCATTTTACATTTAGATGAAATAAAATTAGATGCATTTTTTTCTCAATAGCAACCACAGCTAGATATATTTCCCAACAATCAAGTCATTTTTTGCAATCTTTGTTAGTTCTAACTTGATTATCAAATAATTTTTATTTTTACACTATTACAGAAGTGCATTTCTCTAGGTTTCCAAAACCACCTTATTCAACCTTCCCCATCTGTCACCATCTGCCTCTTTTTAGCATGTACTTTTTGTGTGATCACATAAGCATGTGAAAAATAACTAACATTCAGATGATTATCTGCTGGTACATTTGAGGACTGGGCATAATAAAAGTGAACTGCCAAAACGCACTTAACACTTTTAATTTTGTTGGGTCTTGCATGTAAGCTACATTTGATTTTCAAACTGTTTTACAGTTGGAAAGTGGATCAGGTACTGCTAACTCAAGAGCAAAGCTGAGACTCTAAATAATTAGCACTGCATAAAATGGTTTGGATTCAATAGGAGCCAAATCAAATAATAAAATTTAGCAGTAAGAGTTTATATGTGATTTCTAATTTCTTTTATAATTTCTAGGTGTGAAAATACAGCACAGATTATAAAAACAAAATCCCCTCAAGATATCATATGGTCCATAATTTACTATAAGTTTATTTCCTTCGAATGTACAAAAGAGCAAAAGTACATTCATTTAAAACTATACATACAAATGCAGTTTTCAAGATGTAGCACACTAAATGCACAGTGCATATGCCAGCTAGAACTGAACCGCTGTAACCTGTTAAAAACACAAAACAAAACAAAGCTAGCCTTTTCTACATTAGCAGTATTGTTAAATGCTTCCCAAGTTGGAAAACTGCATTGTAAGCTGCATTCTTCATCAAAAGAGATAAGAGAACAAATACCTTAAAAATATTCTTTTTTCAACAAATGGCATATTTATACTGTAAGTTTTATGTTTTTCTAATTTGCCATAAGAAACAAATTAAGTTCACTTAAAACTCAAGTTTATTTTAAAACCTGCCATGTATCTGACATTGGACATTTAATAAACTGGCTTTAAACTGATTTCTAACACTCTTTGTGAAGTATCTTCAAAATACCCTTCACCTGTCTTTATACCAGATTAAAACAACGTAAAAGGCGAAGGAACACTATTGCTAGATGAAGTATAGGTTGCAGCAAGATTCCTACATAATGTGTAAACAAATCTTCTGTAAAGACAGAGGGGAAAATGTTGACAGTGAGTCATTCACAAGAGAAGCAGTAGTCAAGAATGTATTACAGATCTGATACACAACTACTACTTCTAGTACTGTCACGAAAAGCCCAGCATTAATAATGGTAATGTACTAGAAATTTCAAGGTCCAAAAAAAGTGCGAGACACCATCTGAGGTAAAAGGAAGAGGCTGGCTTCAGCTCCTGCCAATCGCTCCCTAACACTGACCATGTAAATCTGATCACAGTATCGCCTTGCTCTCAATTCACAAGTAATTTTCCCTAGCCCACAGGATCAAATCTAAAACTGTTACATTTCAATCCCTATCTATGTGTCCAGCCTCCTCTCTTCCTGCTTCCCCTTTTCCACTGCCGGACCCTCCCTGCAGGCTTAAGCACTTTTCCTTTTCCTTCCACTCCACTGTATGGAACTAGTAAAGCAGTTATTTTCTTGCACAGTAATAACTGTTTTCCATGTCTTATCACCTCAGTGAACAGCAAGCCACTTGAGGGCAAAAACATCTTCTACCATCGTTGTATTCCCAGTACCTAATGTAATGCCTGATACTTAATATTCAATAAATAATTCTTTGATGAATGAATGAGTGTCCCTCAGTAAAATGGTCCACGCTGAAGACCAGAATAAAGGAATTAAATTCTTATTTTTTTAAGGGTAAACACAGTCAAAGTTTAAAAATGCAATATGTGACACAACATTTAAAATATAAAAGTTACAATTTCGTAAGTTGTTTCAAGATTTCTCATACTCAAATAATAACAACAATAATCACTCTTCCCTATAAAAACATGGTGTCCAGATTTGAATTATGAATCAATGTGTATCCACCAAGGATGGGTATACAAACTGTTTTTAAAGACCAGACTTTTGAAGTATTAAAAAAGGTATACAGAAATGTTTTCTTGTCTTTAAAGAGAAACTGATAATTTTGTGGCAACTATAAACTTTCCATTCAGAAACAAGTGGACTCTTCTTGCATTAGATTCTTAATTTGTTCTTCAGTTGATGACACTGCATATGAAATAATATATTTGTTTCTCAGATCATCTGCTTCTTAAATGAGATGTATTCATCTTCTTCAGAAATAATTTACCCTAATTGTGACACAATTAATTTTGTTATTCTAAATATGGCATATCTTCTTCCATAGCAAATTTATAGCAGGGGTAACTGAACTCCAGAGAAACAAATAATTTTTTGTGACATTTATAAAAACAATTCTATTCTAGAAAATATTTTATTTGAATAAACAAGAAACAGTGTTACTAAAGTTTTACCTAATTAAACCACAAAAATAGAGAATTCTAAACTACAAATTTTTAAAGAGAGAAAATTATATTTTTGGCAAGAAAATAATAGTATGAAATTTATTGTATTTTAAATAGTAGCACTTATTTACAATAACTTAACATTGTTGAAATGTAAATGTAATCCCTAGTTGAAAAGAAGTATTAGAATAATAGACCAGCATGAGTTACTTTATGTTTAAGGAATGCTAGTATCATTGGGGATTTATTTTACTTCCTAATTTCTTTTGATTACCTTTTCCTGTTGGGCATTTACAAAGCATTCATTTAAAAATTACGATTATTTATATTTGTAAGTGGTCTTCAAATTAGGATTTTTTGAGGCCAGGACGTATGTAGTTTAAAAAGTAAAAGTGGGCTTTATAGTCAGACACACTAATTAGAATCTTCATTACACTTCTACCACCTCTTAGCTGTGTACAGATAACATTTAAATATTCTGATCTTATGATCCCTCACCTTTAAAAAATTGCATTTGCTATCTATCATCAAAGATTATTCCAAATGTTAAATGAAATAATAGCTGTAATGCACTTACACAGCAGGTGGCACATAGTAGATGCTCATTAAATAGTTACCCTCACACATCAAATATTAACACCTCCCTATTTGCCTATAGCCACAATAACTGTATTGGAGTTTGAGGGGAAATGGAGCACCAGCTGCTCTCTTTGGAAAGCTCTTCCCTTTTACCTTTGCAACAGGTACCATCACTTTCCATCAACCATCACTTTCGCTGAACATAGTATCTGTGAAAGATGTTATTTTTCAAAGATGGCTGTGGCAGTATCTCCCATCTCACATGCTCTTCTGTAATGTAAAGGTGTGGTCTCTGTCTCTACCACTTTAACCTGTGCAGGCTTACAACTGCTTCAGGGAGTAAGGGTATGACAGAAATGATGTTGTGTGACTTCTGAAAATAGGCCATAAAAGGAGATGCATAAACAAATGTTCATAGCAGCAGCATTATTCATAGTAGCCAAAAAATGGATGCAACCCAATGTACATCAGCTGCTGAACAAATAAACAAAATGTGGTATATCCATATAATGGAATATTATCCAGCCATAAAAAGGAATGAAATAAGTATAACATGCTAAAACAGGGAGGAACACTGAATTTTATGCTAAGTGAAAGAAGCCAGTCACAGAAGACTCCATACTGTATGATTCCATTTGTATGAACTGTCTACAATAGGTAAATCTATAAAGACAAAAAGCAGATCAGTGGTTGCCTGTGGCGGAAGGAAGAATGAGGAGCTAACGGGTATGGGGTTTCTTGCTGGAGTGATGAAAATATTCTGGAATTGGACAGCGATGATAGTTGTACAACTCTGTGAACATATTAAAAATCACCAAAGTGTGTATTTTAAAAGAGTAAGTTTTATGGCATATGAATTGTACTCCAATTATAAAAATATCTGTGAAATCAAGTTTTTAAAAAGTTAATAGTCTTGATGGTTTACTAGGTGGAAACAAAGGCACCATGCAGCTTCTAATGTGTTCCCTAGGACATTTGCTTTTAGGGCTCAGAGCCAAAGAAGTCTGACTGCATTGAAACTGTCATTATGAGGAAGTCCAGACTCATGGAGAGAAGGGCTACATGTAAGTGTTCCTGCCAACAGCCCAAATAAGGTACCAGTGGACAGGCAGCAGAACTGTCGGACATGTGAGTGAAGATGCTTCCTGATGACTCTAGTCTCCAGCCATAGAATCATGCTCTCACTGTAAAGTCTTTCAAGCTGAGACCTCATACATAGTGGAGAATAAACTAGCTATCCTTGCTGTGCCCATTTGCATTCCTGATTCAGAAAATCCATTATTTTATATAAAATGGTTGTTTTCCACTGCTAAGTATTAGGGTGGTTTGTTACACAGCATTAGTAACTGGAACACCATCTACAACAGCCACACCACACCCTTACATTTAATCTTGCTTTTTTGTTTGTTTGTTTATGAAACTTAAGACATTATGTTATTTATTTATTTTTATTCTGTCTCCCTCCACTGAAAGTTAAGTTCCCTGAGACTAGGATCCTTTTCTGTGTTGTGCCTGTAACCACATCATCCAGAAAAGTACCTGATATACAGCAGATACACAATAAATATTTGTTGAATAAACAAATTAATAAATTATTGTGGAACCCTTAGCACAGGGAAGTTACCAGTTTGGAGCTTCCTCTGACATAAATTCCAAAATGTAGCTACTGTCATTTCAATAATTTTCCCAATAAAATAATTTTAAATAAACCCACAATACTATAAATTAAAAACCACTGTTGTTTCTAAGGAAAGTCCAAGATGGTTTATAAATATAAATACTCTTGCTGAAATCAATTATTCTATTTTAATAAATGAATCAAAATGGGTATAGCCAAGATAAAATGGATATGGCCAAGAAATAAAAATTGATTTAACTGACTATAGCTAGTACCTTTGTGCTTATAGTTTATAAAATTTAATTTCAGTATATTCTTGATCCTACAATACCCCATTATAACAAATTAAGAGCCAAAAAATTTTGATTCAGGTTGAAATATAGATAAAAGTAGTAGATACTACAGTTAACTTTTAATGCTTAAATGGTTTACTTTGCAAATCATTATGTCAATGTTACTTTCCTATTAATGGAACCGAAGCCTACCTCTGGTGCCAGATATTCTGGAGTGCCACAGAATGTCTTCATGGTGGCTGCATCTGTGATCCCTTCTTTGCAAAGTCCAAAATCTGTAATTTTTATGTGGCCATCTTTGTCCAGCATTAGATTCTCCAACTGTGTATTAAGAAAAATGACATAATTTGTTCTATAGTCTTCAACAACATGAAAATACCATTTTAAAAAACTACTGAATGCTGAGTAAGGTATTTTGGAAACAGGACATAGTTGTAGCTAATAGAACGCTCAGTACTTACAAACTCTGTTGCTTCACGTGTAAAAAGAAACATGTTTTATCAAATACTTCACGATGATAAAATTATCTATTTTTAAACCGATGGGAATAAGTGATATAGCTTTAAGAGCCATTATTTTGTAAGTTCTGAAATTAAAGCCTAATCAACTTTTCAAAGCAAACATCAATCCTCTTTTTTTAAAAAAGAAAATGTGATCTAAACAATCCCAAAGAGATGAGCATCTTCTTCTAGATATATACAGATGGTTTCAACAATTTCTCCTGGGAATCTATTGCTATTATAAAATATTCACTTACAGAAATGTTTTTTGGTGGTGCTTGTAAATCAAACCTAAATCTTATTTTGTAAGGTAAGGCGATATCCTCTTTTGCAGTTCTTTGTAATAAAGAAATACCAACCCTTTTAAATATAAAAAGAAAAAGAATATCAAAGTCAAACATTCAACAGTTAATAAAAATATATAGCATAAATGTTATAAAGTTGGACCCTCTTTGAACCCATTAATTCAAAACACCAAAGAAAATCTTAAAGATTTAACCAAGTAACAGGATCATGTGCCTCAAGCGGAAAATTATGAAATGTAAGAGAGGAGGAATTTGTGCAAAGCCAACACAATTAGAAATAACAATGTAACCAGCCAGTTCCCCTCGAGCTAATTTGAACCTAAGATTATGATTATCATCAAACAAAGATACAGATGAGTTCTGAGTTATGATCATACAGCCTTATGTATTCAGGGCCCATAAAACTTTGCCTAGTCATGTAGACACAACCTAAAGGTATTTCTTCTGTCATACTGAAAAAATATACAAAATGTGAAAAGTATATTAACAGGATAAATGATAGTTAACTTTTATTTGAGGAGTAGATTCTTATTCTACTCCTTAATGTGATGACATTTGAAAGAATGTAC
Organism: Homo sapiens; assembly: GCF_000001405.40. Taxonomy (NCBI): domain Eukaryota; kingdom Metazoa; phylum Chordata; class Mammalia; order Primates; family Hominidae; genus Homo; species Homo sapiens. Next base: position 243,564,902 of record NC_000001.11, read on the forward strand.
CTGGACTCTGAAGTTAATATCAAATTTAAAACAGATCTCCACTTTAGAACATAAACATATCAGTCATATAAAATATGTTATTATACTCTCTGCCATATTGTCAAATGTCTTATAAACCAGACACTAAATACAGTTAGGCAAGTTGTGTTCACTGAAGCAAAGTTCAGAACAGACAAAAGTCCTTTTTTATAGTACTTCAATGTGCCATCTAACTAAACCAAATGCTTGATATACATTTCATGTATAGCATGTCTCACAGAGGTAAGTCTGGCTTCAATTTTTTTCTACAGAAAGCTGAATGAACACATAAAATATACTGCTGAACCTTTAAAAAAAAATTTCTGTTTTGAGACAGAGTCTCACTCTGCCACCCAAACTGGAGTGCAGTGGTGCAATCACAGCTCACCACAACCTCTGCCTCAGCAGCTCAAGCCACCTCAGCCTCCTGAATGGCTGGGAACACGGGCACGTGCCACCATGCCTGGCTAATTTCTTAATTTTTTTATAGTGACAAGGTCTCACTTTGCTGCCCAAGTTGGTCTTGACCTGCTGGGTTCAAGCAATCCACCCACCTCAGCCTCTCAAAGTTCTGGGATTACAGGCATGAGCCACCATGCCCCACCAAATTAAAATTTTTTATTTTATCCAAACTCAGTTATCTTGTATATTCCTGTTTCTCTACCAGCCAGAACCTAGAAACCAAACCCAATCTGCACAAATGACAATAAGTCTTGTATATTGAAACCAATCAGAAACATCAAGAGTCTTCAACTGTCCTATTTTCTCTTTCTGCCTTGGTCTGTCTCTTCTCAGCCTCTGGTTTCTCTCTTTTTTCCACCTCTTTCAAACAACCTCTCTTCTTCCTCCCTCCCACTTTGCCATAATGAGAAACGTTAAGTATATACTAAAGCTTCTGTTGTTTTACTGAATAAAAATGTATATGCCCTTTTATTAATTTTTAAAAATATGCTTTATAAATATATAAAATGCTGAAGATCTTTAGTGAATACTCTTTTACTAATATAATACATTAACAATTCTTATAAAAGTTCCAAATAATACAAAATATTGAACAAAATGTGAATGTACTTTTTACACCATTCCATTCCCATCTAGTTTGGTGTGTAATGTGCCAATACTCCTCACATGCTTTGTATGCATGGGAAAGTCTTCATGGAAACATGACAGACAGGATGCACTATTTCTCCACGTTTTGACAAAGCTATTTTTGAAGTGGCTGGATACAGAAAAACCAAAATGTATAAACACTGCTTTTTAATACCTAGCTCCGTGTGTGTGTACGTGTGTGTAAAATTCTGACTTGCATCTAATTCTGTAACCTCGTATCTCATCTCTGAGCCTCAGATCATGGTTGTGAGAAGAAGAATGAAATGAGATGCAAGGATAGGTTTGGGTAAGGAATAGGCTGAGGGTGACCAACTCCCAGTTTGCCCAGAACTGAGGGGTTTCAAAGAATGCAGGACGTGTAGTGCTACAACTGGGCAGTCCTGGGCAAACCAAGACAGCTGGTTACCCTACTTGTTTTATAAATTAGCTTTTAAAAAAATTACAATGATATAGTAAGAAATAAGATAAGCCTAAGGGATGACTGAGAGAGATGGGGTAAGGGTCATGGCCATGGGGACTGGTAGCATACTGCCTGGGAGGCAGTAGAGAGCAAAATGGATAAGACTATGGGTTCAAGTCAGAGGGTTCATATTAAAATTTGAGCTTTATCCCTTATTCACTGTGTGACCTTGGGCATATTATTAATTTCTACGTGCTTCAATTTCATCTATAAAACAAAAGTAAATAACAGTAACAATCCAATGTGACAGTTTTGAGAAATGAGATGCTAAATGCAAACTTAACATACCATAAGAATTGAATAAATGAACTCATCTTTTCTTAAAACATGAAGAGTTTAATGGCTTATTTGTAAATTGTCATGATGTGGGCTCTTCTAAAAAACACTGTATTTTAAAGAAAAGAACAAAGTTCAAGAGTGGAACCCCATAAAACATTTCTGTTGGCTCAATGACTGCATTAAAAATACTTTTCAATATGCAATAATTTATTTTAAGTAACAAAACACAGGCTAGGCACAGTGGCTCATGCCTGTAATCCCAACAATTTGAGAGGCTGAGGCAGGCAGATCGCTTGAGCTCAGGAGTTCAAGACCAGCCTGGGCAACATGGTGAAACCCTGTCTCTACCAATAATACAAAAGATTAGCTGTGCGTGGTGGTATGCGCTTGTGGTGCCAGCTACTCTGGAGGCTGAAGCGGGAGAGTTACTTGAGCCCGAGGTGTGTGGGGAGGTTGTAATATGCAGAGATGGTGCCACTGCACTCCAGCCTGGGTGACAGAGTGAAATCCTGTCTCAAAAAAACAAAACACAAATATTTTATAATTTTCTTATTTTTGAGACAGGGTCTCGCTCTGTTGCCTAGGCTGGAGTACAGTGGCACAATCACAGCTCACTGCAGCCTCAACCTCCCAGGCTCAACTGATCCTCCCACCTCAGCCTCCTAAGTACACAGGCGCACACCACTACCACGCCCTGCTAGTTTTTGTTTGTTTCTTCCTTTTTTTTTTTTTTTTTTTTTTTAAGAGATGGTATTTTGCCATGTTGCCCAGGCTGGTCCCGAACTCCTGAGTTCAAACAGTCCTCCCACCTCTGCCTCCCAAAGTGCTGGGATTACAAGTTTGAGCTACTGTGCCCAGCCTCATAATTTCCCAGTTATTTTGAAGTAGTGTCCACATTCTTCTATCAATTACTTTGTCTTCTCTCACCATCCTAAAACGTTGTTTTGCTGAGCATGAATGACTAAAACTTGTCCACCAAAATATTAGCTTAAAAAATAATATCCCCAAATCTAATCTTGTATAAAGATAAATCAGGAGATAATAAAATGTACAGTTCTGTTATACAATACATGATAATTTTACTCAGGATGCATTAACAGAGTTTCTGTAAAATACAAGGACCATTAGTAGGGTGATTCGTAAACCTGCAGAATGCACAGAAACACCTGTAAGTCTTTCCAAAGCATATCAATGGCCTAGATATATCAGTAACATCTGGAAATCACTGTCTTGGTTCATTTAACACTAACATAATGTAAGTAGTATTTACATTATTTACAGTAGTCATACATTTTTAGGAATCTTTCTACTGCGTAAAGGAGGAAGAAAAATATTTACAAATGATCTTTCTTTAGTCTTCTCTTCTAGATCACTTTCCTTCTTCCCTTTGTTAGCCAGACAATATGTAATGCATATTGTCACTGACTGCTTAGGTACTCTAAATTTATGAAACTTTACATGCATCTGTTTAATATTCACAGCCAATCTCAGTTTCCAAGATGGAGAGTAGGGCAGCATGCTTATGCTTAATGGATGCATCCACTAACAAAAGTAGTGATGAAGTCAAATATGAAGTCATAAGAAACAAGATTGTATATTAAAAATCTAAGTAATGCTTACTATTTCTATCAGAGGGTTGTTATCTAAAAGGTCATGCTTTTGAGGAGAGAGAAAAAAAAAAACACTAGACATAATACATCATAGAATTTCCACCAAAAAAAAGGGTAACATTTTTTGCCCAGTTGAAGTGGACAGGCATTACTTGACAGAGGGTCTTGATTCAGTGTGTATATGAAGAAATGGTAGATTTTTAAATCTTTTTTCCTGTGCTTAGTGGGCACAAAATTGTAACAAAAATTACTATGTTTCCTCCTGTTCTTGCTGATGGCTAGCATAAAATTAAACTTTAAAAATCCTAGCTGTCTTTAATACAATGCTTCCCAACCTTTTACATTTCACAGTAAAATAACAATTTAAAGTTGTGGGGCATACCAGGTTAACTGGACAAGATGCTTGAAGCCAGAACTCACTGGCCTGGAAGCTTCTCTGAACACTTTGCAGGCCGAGGCATGGTTGTAACCTGTTTGTAGCACCCAGTCTGAGAAGCTAGGCTTGAATGTAGGCCAGACTAAATATTTGAAAGTTTAAAAACACCATATATATGGTATCATTTTAATTAAACGACTGACATTGTGATTAAACAAAGGAATGAAAATAGCAGTTCCTAAGGGCTCCGATGACTACTGCAGCAATAGAAATAAACAATTCCTGTTACTCACTCTTACACCACATTTTAGCCCACATACATCAAACTCAGTTTTAGGCACCAAGACTCACTCAGGCCCAAGAAGGTAGTAAGGAATTCCTACTCTGCACATTGCAAGTTTAAGTTTACGGGCATCCAGTGCCAAAATGTCACAAGCTAACCTGCAGAAACTGAATGACCATGGAATGCTGAAATTCCAAAAGAAAAACGTTTCTTCACTTCAACCTCTGAATCCAGAAAAGGACTCATCATGTAAACAGACCCCAAATAGGTTGCCAGGCTATTTACAAATTTATTACGAATAAGGTACATAGTCCAATACCAGTACAATTTTATTTTAGAAGTGGAAGGAATGAAGAGCAGTGGCTTAAGATTTCTATATAGGGGGAAATCCAGTGACCATCTAGTTAGAAGTGGGAGCTGGGGAAAGTGTCTTGAAGCTCAGCAAGCAAAGCAAGCATGCTTTCCCCACCCAAACTGCATTTATTTGAAGTGAACATTAGGGAGCTGATGAGGACGAGGAGGGCTATGATAAAACTCTCTGAAGCCACCCCTTCGTGCCATTACTGAGTGTTAGAAAGTACCTAAATTTATTTGGTGCTTTCTCATATTAATACTGTAAATGGTTAACTATTCTCACATTAGGTGGAAAACAAGATTAGGTGTTCTACAAATAGGAAATAGCAACAACTTATGTATTATTTTCTCCCATAAACTAGCAAGAAATTAATTCTTAATGATTTCCAATATAGTTATATTCACCTTTGCAAATGTCCCTGTTCAGCCTACGCTGTGCTTAGATGGCCATGGTCATTGGTTGTATTTGTAAAATAAGAGCTAAGCAGAAAAGAAGATTTTAACATATAATTTGGACTACTGAAGAAGTCTTTGAAGAGATTTCTTCGAAATTTTGGGCAATCATGAAGCAACAGCAGTTTTCCTTAAGTAATCACAAGGAATTTGGGTCCTTAATAAAAATAAAACTTCATTACATGATGTGTATTGACAAATTAAATGAACTTACTTTCTAAAGTACAACAAAGGCTTCAACAATTTTTCTGTTGCTATAAACACTAATTTATTAGGAAACAGGAACTGATAAAAATATCTTAAGTTAACCTGCACATAAAAGAAGGCTCTGCCTCCAATGTGAATGAGACAGCGGCAAACGGGTATGGATTTACTTGAGAAGTGCTGCTACTGTAGGCATAGCAATTGGATTTGCATTTGAACAAAGTCAAGGTTATTAGTAATGAGAACAGAGACAAATCTGAGACTGATCAAAGTGGGTACCTAAATCAGTTCATGATAATGTTCTTTAATACATCTGGTATAAATATATTTGAAACACTCATTCTCTTACCTTCTGCAGTTTAATTTGAAGTTTAGGCTTACAAAGATTTCCCAAAGTTAATCCAATGCATCCCCCCTCTATAATTTCATTTCAACTCTAGAAGTCAGAATGATATAGTGACAAGAACATTCAATAAGGAGCTAGGATTCATGAGTTCCAAAAACCCTGACTGCTATCAACTTAGGTCATTACTTTTAGTAAGTCATTTACTAGGCTTCTAGGTTTGAAGGAGATCACCTATAAATTAAAGACCAGCTCAAAATTTCTGTGATCTTACCTAAAATATGTCATTGTATTATAAATAATCCTGTTACTGTGGATACAAATAACATGTGTGTAAGTTTTGGATGTTTGATTTCTTATGTTACATGGATTTTTCTAGGTGTACCTTTACAGTTTCTGTCCTATGCTAACTATATACTTAGGTCTTTAAGTTAAGGCTATATTTTTTAAGAAATAAACTCAGGGAGCAGAGACCACTTAATTGTCTAGTAAACTTGGTGAACTGTGCACGTGGTAACTAATTGACTGATATTCATATATAAAGTAGGTACTTTATATTGCAGTTTGACAAATTTAGTCTAATTCCATCATCAGAAAGAATGGGGCAGTGGAACTCATTTAATGAGCTTCAATATACCAATATGTTGGCTGGGCATGGTGGCTCATGCCTGTAATCCCAGCATTTTGGAAGGTCGAGGCAGGCGGTCACGAGGTCAGGAGATCGAGACTATCCTGGCCAACTCCGTGAAACCCTGTCTCTACTAAAAATACAAAAATTAGCTGGGCGTGGTGGCACATGCCTGTAATCCCAGCTACTCAGGAGGCTGAGGCAGGAGAATCGCCAGAACCAGGGAGTTGGAGGTTGCAGTGAGCCAAGATGGCACCACTGCACTCCAGCCTGGCGACAGAGCGAGACTCCATCTGAAAACACACACACACATACCCTCAATATGTTGATTCATTTGATGAGAAATGATTAAAGAAGAAATACTGACCAAGACCATAATCAATACTGCAATCAAATGAACATTCTTTTCTTTAGCAGTCTTTAGGCTAATAATTCAATCTTTTGAATTTAAGCTTTCTGGATGTTACCTATTACTTCAAAATTGTTATAATTTCCTTAAATCTAAGCCTCCATGCTTCTATCCTTCCCCTTTTCACCCCTACAAATAGGATTCATAAAACATGTAGTGGGAATACGAGAAGTGGACTCAGGAAGAGCAGAGCTAACTACTTCTAAGTATATTTGGAAAGTTAACACATTTTGTCATGCCACATAACTAATTCCTTTAAAGAAATTGATATTTAAGACATTTAGACAGTATAGGATTATCTGGCCATGCAGATACATGAATGCTGAATTCTGCCACATTCCTAGTTATAAAAAGATTCAGGCTAAATACAATCAAACTATTAATTTGTATTAATCTTTAGCCCATTTTGGCACTTAGACAGTTGGTCATCTCTGATCTAGATGTTTTATAGGTACATAGTTCAGTTCTTCCTACATACAACATCTTATAGCTTCTATATACCTCATTTCAAACAAAACAGAATTTCATAAAAGCCTCATGTAACTTCTGTTTCTACCAATCATTACGTTACATGAAATAGTATTTGATCAATAAGGCAATTCTGTGTCAAATTTTATACACAATTTGCTTCTTACAAAAGAAAGACTAACATCTAGAATTTATTCAAAATGTGTCGTGGTACAAATTCCTTTAATGTCGCCAACCTAATTCATAACACTGTCATGAGAATTACTATTACCTTGTATGAGTTACTCCAGGGATCAACAAATGACAACCTGTGGACTAAATTGAGCCCATCGCCTATTTTGTTTACTGGAACATAGCCAAACATATTCATTTACATACTATCTGAGGCTGCTTTTACCCTACAATGATGGAGTTGAGTAGTTTACAAAAGAGACTATACACGAACAGCAAAGCCTAAATTATTTTATCTGCCCTTTATAGAAAGTTTGCCAATCCTGAGCTACCCTAAGGGTCTCATCATAATGGAACTTACAGCAGTCAAAACACTATTACCAACAGAAAAAATAGAGTGCTTTCATAAATAAAACACGAGGCACATTAATAAATGGTTATTATATTAAAATGCTTCAGGTATTTAAAACCACCCAAAGTTAATGCTAAAATCAAAATGAATATGTTCCTTCCAATAGTCTTACTATGTTTCTTCATAAAACATTTCTGTAAACATAATAAAACTTGTTTTAAGTGTAACTTGTGAATTTATTTGACTTAATCACGTTTAACATTTTTATTTGATCCAAGCAGTCGGGCAGAAATTGCTTTGCAAATCAAAAACTCACACATAAATCAACTACATACATGTTAGTGAATAAAATTTCCTTCAAATGTAGTGAACTAAATTTTTAAACATAGTGCTTTTTTCCCAACTAAATCTGCTTTTCTCAAAACTGTATAACTTTGTAATTACTTTATGTTTGTCCCTATAGTCTCTGCAAAAACAAATTTTGATTACTTTTTTTTTTTTTTTACCTTGAGATCACGGTACACAATCTTTCCGGAATGTAGATAGTCCAAGGCAGAGACAATTTCTGCACCATAGAAACGTGTGCGGTCCTCAGAGAACACCCGCTCTCTCGACAAATGGAAAAACAGCTGCAGGGTAAACAGCAGGGACAGGATTGTAATAATTACTGATTTAGTGGGGGAAATTAACACAAACATAAAACACCTCTCATCACCATATTGTGATGATAGATAGTGTACTCTCAGTGGACACTGAGCACTCTTAGACAGCAGCTGGCTTATCTTTTCCAGGTTTCCAAGGGGAAACTGCGAGCTGTTAAATCAGCGTTTTAATCAATATACCAATCTTGTTTAAGGCATTCTGCTTGCTACCCATTTAACCTTCAGTTACCAGAGGAAAAAGGTATGCATCATCAGATTGCAGTTTCCCCCTCACTATACTGTTGCTTCACTCTTCAAGGATTAGGTATTGAGATATTACTAAAATAAATGAACACAAGCACAGATATATTTTCACTTAATTATTTGATTTCAAAGACAAGACTGTCAATTTGCTGAAACTGATTTACGCGAACTTGTTATATTCTACAATTTTTGATTAATCATGATATCTCTAAAAATATTTTCAAAGTCAAATTATTATTGAAAATAGAAAATAATTTGACATTTTCTATGGTGAGAAACTTTAAGGTTTTATGTTTTTAATTTATTTTAGTAATGCCCAAAATGAACTGAGAAACATCCATTATTCCTATTGCAGTTCTCAATGTATATTCTATTTTCAATAATAATTAGCTACAATGCCAGTCCTTTCTCATATTATCACTAAAACTATAAGCCCATCCATTTCCTAGTCAACCTCTTAAAACATATACCATTCGATAGTCAACAAACATTCACTGGGTGCTTACTGTGACCAAGTACACGGCTCTCCAATAGGCCACTTCTTCATTAAAGAAACTACAAATATTATCTCAATTGGACAACATACATGAAGAAAGAGCAGGTTTCAGGCACTGTGAATTGACTATTAATCTTTGTTGTTGAAACATGCTCAGAACAATGAAAGATTGTTTACAGTGCTGAGTATATTGCCAGGTATCATGGTTATTAATAGATACACAATACATGTCTGTGAAAAAAATGAACCAATCAGCCAATGTACCCTTGACTGCAAGATCAGAAATTTTTCCCTTACATGGATCATTGACTCATAATGTTTCTACAAAATTGGTGAAAATTATGGTTAACTAAGATTTGTTCTGCATACACCAAAGTCATTATTTCAAGTAACATAAAACAGGTTCCCTATAAATTCATTCTTCCCCATTCCCACCCCCACCTTCACTTAACAGCATATTATAAGATAAGCTTTATGCATGACCCATTGGCATAGTAAACAGAGAGAGAGAGAAAATATCACCTATAGCCCCAAAAAGTGTAGCACAACAATAATTATATTAAAACTAAAATATTTTGCAGTCTCTAAACTTTAATGCTTCCTACTATATTACTGTATTTTATCAAATCTCATATGCTACGAATTGGGACTGCATCATCATTTTATAAAACACCAAGGTAAAAAAGGTTGTCAGTTAAAACTATAACACATGATCTATTCTAAAAGGCATTCTGATTACAGAAATGTTAAGTATGTCTTCCAAATAATCAAATACAGTATGTGAAAAATCAAGTCATTTATACAATTACTCAGGGATATTTTAAAAAATTCATTCATTTCATATAGTTAGATATATATTATCAATGTATTACCAGCCTAACAAGGATAGAAAGTAGAAGGAGCCATGTTTTCCAGGTTAAAATAATTTCTGCCATGCAAAATATCACTAACTTTGATGAAAAGATCGTGTGATCTCTATGTGGAGTTGCAGTAGTCTTCTAATGAGATGAAAATAGTGATTAGGTTTCTAAATTTTCTTAAAAGAATGTCAAGCCTACTTACCCACTCATTTAACTTTACAAAAAATATGGATCCTCCCTAAATCGATATAATATATGCAAGATTCTAGATCTTTATTTAGACTATGTATCTTCAATGTGTCTGCCAGCCAATTTCTATAAATATATCAGCTAAAAATTATATTTAAGGGTAAGAATTTACTTCTCAGTCTGCTATCTGATGTGTACCCTTACTACTTTATGGAACTTGTTAAGATAACCAACAACCTCTTAATCGCCAAATCCAATAATCTATTTACAGTCTGCACTGCTTCTTCCAAATCTGAAGCTTAGGACATCACCTACTGCCCTCTTTCTTGAAACACATTTCTGGGCTTTGGTAATATGACTCTCTCCTGATTTGCCTCCTAACTCTCTGGCTAATCCTTCTCAGTTTCTACTTTGGCTCTGAACCAACTTTTCAATTCAGCATTCATTTAGTGAGTATCAATTATTTTAAAGTCACTGCTGGGCACTGGAGAAGAGAAAGAGGGAATACAGTGATAAGACAGAATCTCTTATGATTCCAAGCATTGAGTGCGGTAACATTCTCATGAGTATACACTTAACTCCAAACCCATCAAGTTGTTCCGATTAAATATATACAGCATTTTGTATATCAATCATAACTCAATAAAGTGGTTTAAACAAAAGACAATTCCTGCCATTAAGCAATATGAATGAAGAGGACACAGGTATTGATTTTTAAAAAAAGAGGGTTGTGATAACATTTTATAACTCAGATATTAAAAGTACTTTGAAGGCAAAGAGGGATTAATCTGTGCTGGCATCATGTAAGGAGACTTGATAGATAAGAAAAAGCTTTACCTAAGTTTTGAAGAATAGGTTTTTCATAATGGAAAATTTAAGGGAAAAATCTCCAAAAAAGTGCTACTCAAGTTTTATCCATTTGTATTTCCAACACAGCCTAGGACAGTACCTGCACATAGTAGGTGATTAATAAAAATTTAGAAAGCATTAATACTAAAGAGGAAAAATAGCAATGGCAAGAAAACACATGTAGGGAACACATGTAGCCAAAAAATAATATATAATCAGAGAAATAATAGGACTTCTGGAAAAAAAAGATGAGATCAGATTGGTTAGGATCTTTACTAACATGACAAGAGCATGAATTTTTTTTCTGTAGATAATAAGTATGAAAGAATTTTAGCTTAAAAATTAGCATAATTTGGATCCACATATGCAAATCAATGAATGTAATTCATAATATAAACAGAACTAAACACAAAAACCACGTGATTATCTCAATAGACACAGAAAAGGCCTTCAAAAAAATTCAACATCGCTTCATGTTAAAAATTCTCAGTAAACTAGATATTGAAGGAACATACATCAAAATAATAAGAGCTATTTATGACAAACCCACAGCAAATATCACACTGAATGGGCAAAATCCAGAAGCATTCTCCTTGAAAACCAGCACAAGACAAGGATGCCCTCTCTCACCACTCCTACTCAACATAGTATTGGAAATGCTGGCCAGGGCAATCAGGCAAGAGAAAAAAATAAAGAGCATTCAAATAGGAAGAGAGGAAGTAAAATTGTCTTTGTTTGCAGATGACATGATCCTGTATCTAGAAAATCCCATCCTCTCAGTCCAAAAGCTTAAGTTGATAAGCAAATTCAGCAAAGGCTCAGGATAGAAAATCAATGTGCAAAAGTCATAAGCATTCCTATACAACAACAACAGAGAACCAAATCATTTATGAACTCTCATTCACAACTGCCACAAAGAGAATAAAATACCTAGAAATACAGCTAACAAGGGAAGTGAAGGACCTCTTCAAGGAAAACTACAAACTACGGCTCAAGGAAATAAGAGAGAACACAGACAAATGGGAAAACATTCCAGGCTAATGAATATGAAGAATCAATATTGGGAAAATGGCCATACTGGCCAAAGTAATTTATAGATTCAATGCTATTCACAATAAACTACCATGGAAATTCTTCACAGAATTAGAAAAAAACTATTTTAAAATTCACATGGGACCAAAAAAGAACCCACAGAGCCAAGACAATCCTAAGCAAAAAGAACAAAGCTGGAGCCATCACACTACCTGACTTCAAACTATATTACAAGGCTATAGTAACCAAAACAGCATGGTACTGGTAACAAAAACAGACACATAAACCAATGGAACAGAATAGAGAACTCAGAAATAAGACCAAATATCTACAACTATTTGATTTTTAACAAACCTGACAAAAACAAGCAATAGGGAAGGACATCCTATTGATTGATTGCTTGATTGAATGATTGAGACAGAGTCTCACTCTGTCACCCAGGCTGGAGTGCAGTGGCATGATCTTGGCTCACAGAAACCTCTACCTCACAAGTTCAAGCAATTCTCCTGCCTCAGCCTCCTGAGTAGCTGAGATTACAGGCATGTGCTACCACACTGGGCTAATTTTTATATTTTTAGTAGAGATGGGGTTTCACCATGTTGGCCAGGCTGGTCTCAAACTCCTGACCTCAAGTGATCTGCCCACTTCAGCCTCTCAAAGCGCTGGGATTACAGGCATGAGCCACTGCATCTGGCCAGCACTCCCTATTTAATAAATGGTGTTGGGAGAACTAGCTAGCCATATAAAGAAAACTGAAACTGGACCCCTTCCTTATACCTTATACAAAAATTAACTCAAGATTGATTAAAGACAAATGTAAAACCCCAAACTATAAAAAACCTAGAATAAAATCTAGGCAATACCATTCAGGACATAGGTACGGGCAATGTTTCATGATGACAACATCAAAAGCAATTACAACAAAAGCAATAATTGACAAGTGGGATCTAATTAAAGAGCTTCTGCACAGCAAAAGAAACTACCATCAGAGTGAACAGACAACCTACAGAATGGGAGAAAATTTTTGCAACCTAGCCATCTGACAAAGGTCTAATATCCAGAGTCTACAAGGAACTTAAACAAATTTACAAGAAAAAAAAATCCCCATTCAAAAGTGGGCAAAGGACATGAGCAGACACTTCTCAAAAGAAGACATTTATGTGACCAACAAACACATGAAAAAAAGCTCAACACCACTGATCATTAGAGGATGCAAATCAAAACCACAATGAAATAGCATCTCACACTAGTCAGAATAGTGATTATTAAAAAATCATGAAACAATAGATGCTAGTGGGGCTACAGAGAGATGGGAACACTTTTACAATGCTGGTGGGAATGTAAATGAGTTCAGCCACTGTGGAAGACAAGTGTGGCAATTGCTGTAAGACACAGAACCAGAAATACCCTTTGACCCAGCAATTTCATTACTGGGTATATACCCAAAGGAATACAAATCATTCTACTACAAAGATACGTGCATGCATATGTTCACTGCAGCACTATCACAATAGCAAAGTCATGGAATCAACCCAAGTGCCCATCAATGATAGATGGATAAAGAAAATGTGGTACATATAACCCAAGAAATACTATGCGGCCATAAAAAGGAATGAGCTCATGTCCTCTGCAGGGACATGAATGGAGCTGGAAGCCATTATCCTAAGCAAACTAACGCAGGAACAGAAAACCAAACACCGCTTGTTCTCACTCATAAGTGGGAGCTGAACAATGAGAATACATGGGCACAGGGAGAACACCACCACACATTAGGGCTTGTGGGGCAGAGCCAAGGGAGGGAGATCATCAGGAAAAATGGCTAATGCATGCTGAGCTTAATACTTAAGTGATGGGTTGATAGGTGCAGCAAACCACCATGGCACACATTTACCTATGTAACAAACCTGCACATCCTGCACATGTACCCTGGAACTTAAAAATAAAATAAAATAATTAGCATAATGTTAAAAAGGCAATTCGGGTAGCAATGAGAGAATCAACTAAAAATGCCTGAGACTACAGACTGCTAAACAATTTTTAAAGTACAACAAAAAAGTTACTGATCACCACTGTTATGAAAAGCTGCAGACACAATGAGAGAAAACCGTACCAATCTGCAAGGACATCACTATCTGGTTACAAGAGCCAGATACATAAACTTTTCTACTAAAGTTACGGTAATTATTATAAAGCAGAAAAGACATTCAAAGAATAAGCATGTTTGGAAATATCAGAAGTTATATTTGAGCTTGCAGAGAGCTTCTGAGGGACATCAGCTAAGGTAGTAGTAACAGACATATAAAGAGAATCAATATTCCAGAGGGAACTAGCTTTTACCACTTGGGTCAAGGGAGAAATCAACGATGTTGAGGTTTCTCTATGGCTGACTGAGTAGATGCTGATATAAAGGAAAAGAATGGGAATGGGGACAGAGGAGCAATGGGTTTTATTTTGACATGCTGATATCTAAATAGGCATTTGATAACACAGCTTTGCAAGTTCATGAAGGTAGATATGGGAATCATTCATAGAAAGGATATTGTTAAGACTGAGAAAGCAAAGAATAGTCTAGGAATTCAGTAAAAACTGAAAAGATAAGTGAAGGCAGAATCTTAGGGTACTACTATACATAGGACAGAAAAAAGCAGAACAGGACATTCAGATGGAATACTAAGAGATATAAAAAAAGGAAGCAAGACTACAAGAAGTGAAGGGAAAATAAAGTTTCAGAAAGACAGGAACATTTGCTGTACTTAGGAATTAGGTCATCTGTTACTTTTCAAAGGTAAGTTGTCATATTTAGGTGGGCTGAAAAGAGAATGTGAAGGTAGAAATAATACACCATTCCTTTAAAAAAATGGATGAGGTGAGCCAAGGTATTATTGAACCAGAAGGTTTCTGTGCAACATATTAAATAGTGCCTTCAAGAAAAAGGTTTGTCTAAAGAAATTGACTTATATAACTACAATTCATATGGAATAGGTACACAAATGAAACACCAAAGAAATAATGAAGCAAGGAACAGGTTATTTTAGGTTATAAAAATTTAATACAGAATACTTGAACATGACAATATATGATAAAGTATACAGGAAAATGACAAATAGTGCAACAATAATTAACTCTGAAGAAACATAAAATTTAATTTTCACCTCATAACAAAATAAAATTTATATGTATTAGTCCAATATAAAATTAAAAAACTAGAAAATATGTGTAAGTGGTTATCTAGTCTCAAGATGAAGAAGAATTTTCTAAGCATAAAAGAAATGGAAGAAATAGACTTTTTGCTTTTCCCCAAGAGGGTGGGTTAGAGGCTTTCTGCACGCCTCAGCCACTTGGACATAGCAAGATAGCAGATAAAGATAAACTCTGTGAGCTTTAATTCAAGAAGGAAAACAGGAATCTACTGGAATCATGACGTACACTCCAGATCCCAGAGAGGAGAAGGCCAGCAAACAGCCCCACTGACGGCATCCAGCTGATAAAAGTTAAGTGAAGCCCCAGTGCATGAGAGAGGCAAGGAGCCTCCCTCTGTGACTCACCCTTCCACTGGGGATCCAAGCAACCTAGGCCAAGGGAGAGCACTTTGTTTCTCCCAGTCCTGGAGCTAACTTGGGGAGTGGCCTGGAGTCACTGTGACGGAAAAAGCTGAAGGCATTTTTCCAGACCCGGGAAAAAGAGCAGGACAATGTTTTAAATTTGGGCACATAAAAACTCAGCCATTCCTTGGTGACCCAGCAGTGTGGCTGCACAGGCATGTCAGTCTTGGACCAGAGATCAAAACACCTGCTCTGGAATGGGATAGGGGCTTCACAGTCAAAACTGTGGAAAGTACCCCAACAACAGGGCTAGAATTGTGCTTTCCCCACTTTCAAGCCTGGGGCAGCAGGAGAGCCGCTACAGCTGCAGTTTCTCCTGGGCTGCAAAACTTGCAGTCACGTTCAGCTTGGCAACCTGGAACAGATTCGCATGTGCCATTGCCGGGTAACCCACTCTGTTCTCCTGAGATTGTGGTGCAGTAGGGCCCTTGCTGCTCCATCTCCAAGCACATCTCTGGCATCCAGAGTAACCATTTGCCTAGTTGAGTAGCCTGAGCCACCGCACTCCTCCTGGACATAACGTTATGGTGAAGCAGAGCTCTCTCTGCTCCATACCCAGGAAGATCCCTAGGCATTCAGAGCACCTCCTTGCCTGCTTCTGGAGTTTGAGTCACCCCACCCCTCCTATGCAGAGATCTTAGTGCAGGGGGTCTCTGCTCCATGCTCTAGGCATCTTGAGCACCTACTCTCCTGGACTAGAAGTTTAGACCATCCCCTATCCCTGTGCAGAGAACTTGGGGCTGAGGAGGTTTCCCAGCTACACTACTAGGCACATCTCTGGGCCCTTGGTGGCCACCCACTGCATTCTCCCTCGGCACTAGTGCCTGTGTCTGTCATCAGGGGACCTGTAGGTGGACCTGTCAGGTCTGGCCCTGCCATTCCTGCCCTCTGCCAACCCCCTGACCCTGGGGCTGGGCAGTGAGCTCAGACCATGGTACATTCCATGAATTGGCCATAGCCTGTGGCAACAAAGAGCTTCTGCCAGTAAACAAGTATCAAGGTATACACTAAGCCATGTTGGCTGCAGTTAGCTCTTACCTCTAAGTGCCATCTACAGGCTTGCAGGTCAAATGCCACAGCCCAAAATAAAATTGGCCAAAAGCAGCACAGAGGACTAAAGAAACAAAGTCAAAGACCCTACCCAGAATTCTCTATAGTCACATTCTGAAGGGAGGGGAAGAAAAGGGAAAGGAGAAAAAAATATATAATAACATTATAGGGAAAGAAAAAGAAAGAAAAAATCCTACCTGCATGAAAATAATTACAGAAGTTACAAGTGTTAGGGTCTCCAGATAAGAAAAAAGCAGCGTAAGAATTCCAGCACTATGAAAAATCTGAATGTAGTGATACCACCAAAGGATCACACTAGCTCTACAGAAATGGTCCCTAACCAAAATGGAAACTCAGAAATGACAGATAAAGAATTCAAAGTAGGGATTGCAGTAAGCCCAATGAGATCCAAGACAAAGTTGAAAATCAACAAAAAAAAACTTCTAAAGTAATCCAGGAAATGAAGGAAGAAATAAGCATCTTTAAGAGAAATCAATCAGACTTTCTGGAATTGAAAAAATTCACATAAGGAATTTCAAAATACAACTGAAAGCTTTAACAATAGACCGGCCCAAGCAGAAGAAAGACTTGCAGAGCCTGAAGACCAGTATTTTAAACTAATCCAGTCAGACAAAAATAAAGAAAAAATAATTTTAAAAAATGAATAAAGTCTTCAAGAAATATGGAATTACAGAAAGTGATAAAACCTACAAATTACTGGTATTCCTGAGAGAGAAGAAGAAAAAGTTAACAATGTGGAAAATATATTTGAGGAAATAACTCAAGAAAACTTTGGTAATCTTGTTAGGGAGACAGATATCCAGATACAAGAAATCCAGAGTACAACTGTGAGATACTATGCAAAATAAACATCACTAAGGATATTATCACCAGACTGTCCAAGGTCAACACTAAAGAAAAAAAAATCTTAAAGGCAGCTAGAGAAAAAGGGCAGATCAGAGGGAATGTCATCAGGCCAACCGTCAACTTCTCAGCAGAAACCTTACCAGCCAGGAGAGACTGGGGACCTATTTTTAGCTTTCTCAAAAAAAAAAAAAAAAAAAAAAAAGAAATTCCAACCAAGAATTTCATAACCTGCCAAACCAAGCTTCATAAGTGAATAAGAAGTAAAATCTTTTCCAGACAAACAAGCACAAAGGAATTTGTTACAACTAGACCAGCCTTATGAGAGATCCTTAAGGGAATTCTAAATATGGAAATGAAAGAAAAATAAATGCTACCACAAAAATGCATGTAAGTACATAGCCCACAGACCCTATAAAGCAAAAACACACACTAGAAAGTGTAAGGCAACCAGCTAATAACTTCATGATAGGATCAAAACATCACATAACAGTATTAGCTTTGAATGTAAATGGTCTAAACACCTCACTTAAAAGGCACAGAGTGGCATGTTGGATAAAAAAACAAGACTCATCCATCTGGCTTGTCTTCAAGAGACCCATCTTATATATAATGACACCTATAGGCTCAAAGTAAAGGTTTGGAGAAAGAGCTACCACACTAATGGAAAACAAAAAAGAGCAGGAATCACTATTCTTTCATCTGATAAAACAGACTTCAAACTAACAGCAGTTAAAAAAAAAAAAGACAAAGAAGAGTATTACATAATGATAAAGGGCTCAATTCAACAAGAAGACTTAACTATCACATATATATCTTCCATATATATATATATCTCTCTCTCTCTTCCAGTATGTATATATATTCCATATATATATCTCTCTCTTCCATGTATATGTGTGTGTATATATATATATATATATATATATACACACACACACACACACATATATCTTCCATATATATATCTCACATATATGTATGCACCCAATATTGGAGAACCCAGAGTCATAAAACAAGTACTACTAGATCTACAAAAAGACATAGACAGCAACACAATAATAGTGGGGGACTTCAACACCCTACTAGCATGAGTGAGATCATTCAGGCAGAAAAGTCACACATTCTGGACTTAAACTCAACACTTGACCAACTGAACCTGAAAAACATCTACAGAATACTCTACCCATCAGCCACAGAACATACATTCTTCTCAGGTGCACATGGAACAATACTCCAAGACTGACCACATGCTCGTCCTTAAAGTAAGTCTCAAAAAAAAAAAAAAAAGAAAAAAAAAAGAAAAAGAAAAAGAAAAACAAACAAAAAAACCCTGAAATCATACTAACCATAATCTTGGACCACAGTGGAATAAAAACAGAAATCAATACCAAGAAGGTATCTCAAAACCATACAGTTACATGAAAATTAAACAACTTGCTCCTGAATGTCTTCTGGGTAAACAACAAAATCAAGGCAGAAATAAAAATAGTATTTGAAATAAATGAAAATAGGTACACAACACACCAAAATTCCAGGGACGCAGCAAAAGCAGTGTTAAGAGGAAAGTTGAAAGCACTAAATGCCTACCTCAAAACATTAGAAAGATCTCAAATTAATACTCTAACATCACATCTAGAGGAACCAGGAAAACAAGAACAAACTAACCCATAAGCTAGCAGAAGAAAAAAAAATAACTAAAATCAGAGCAGAATGGAACGAAATTAAGACCTAAAAATCCACATAATGAAATGATGAAGCCAAAAGTTGGTTCTTTGAAAGGATAAAGAAGATTGCTAGACTGCTAGTGAGATTAACAAAGGAAAAGAGAGAAGATATAAATAACCACAATTAGAAATGACAAAGATTACATTACAACTTATCCCACAGGAATACGAAAGGTCCTCAGAGGCTATGTGTCTATACATACAAACAAGAAAATCTAGAGGAAATGGATAAATTCCTGGAAACACACAATTTACCAAGACTGAATGAGGAACAAATTGACACACTGTACAGACTAATATCGAGTTCCAAAACTGAGTCAGTAATAAAAAAAACCTACCAACCAAAAAAGTCCCAAACAAGACGGATTCACAGTTGAATTCTATGTAAGGTACAAGGAAGAGGTGGTATAAATTCTACTGAAACTATTCCAAAAAAATGATTTTACAAAGCCAGTAACATCCTGATACCAAAACCTGGCAAAGACACAATGAAGAAAGAAAATCACAGGACTATATCCCTGATGAACACAGGTGCAAAAATCCTCAACAAAATACTAGCAAACTGAATTGAAAAACACATCAAAAAGTTAATTCACCATGATCAAGTAGGCATCATTCCTGGGATGCAAGGGTGGTTCAACATATACAAATCAATAAATGTGATTCACCACATAAACCAAATTAGCTTTCAATGAAATCCAACATCACTTTATGATAAAAACCCTCAACAAACTAGGCATCAAAGGAACATACCTGAAAATAATAAGCACCATCTATGACAAACCCACAGCCAACATCATACTGAACAGGCAAAAACTGGAAGCATTCCCCTTGAGAACTGGAACAAGATATGGATGCCCCCTCTCACCACTCCTAGTCAATATATTAGTGGAGAGTGCTAGCCAGAGAAAATCAGGTAAAAGAAAGAAATAAAAAGGCATCCTAATAGGCAAAGAAAAAGTATAACTATCTCTCTTTACTGATAATGATTCGATACTCAGGAAACCCTAAGGGCTCCACCAAAAGGCTATTAGAACTGATAAATGATTTTTGCAAGGTTTCAGGAGAGAAAATCAATGTACAAAAATCAGTAGCATTTCTATATACTGATAACATCCAAGCTGAGAGCCAAATCATTTACAATAGCCACACACACAAAAAAATCCAGGAATACATCTAACCAAGAAGGTAAAAGATCATTACAAGGAGAACTACAAGACACCGTTAAAAGAAATCATACATGACACAAACAAATGAAAAAACGTTCCATGCTCAGGGACTGGAAGAATCAATATCAGTAAAATAGCCATATTTCCCTGCCCAAAGCAATCTACAGATTCAAGGCTATACCTACCAAACTACCAACATCATTTTTCACAGAACTGGAAAAAAAAAACTACAAAATTAACAAGAAACCAAAAAAGAGCCAGAATAGCCAAAGCAATCCTAATCAAAAAGAAGAAAGCTAGAGGTATCAAATTACCTGCCTTCGAACCATACTATAAAGCTACAGCAACCAAAACAGCATGGTACTGTAAAAAAACAGACACAAAGGCCAATGGAACATAATAGAGAGCCCAGAAATAAAGCCAGCCACCTACAATAATCTAATCTTTGGCAAGGCTGACAAAAATAAGCAATGGGGAAAGGACTCCTTATTCAATATATGGTGCTTCGACAGCTGGTGAGCCATACGCAGAGGAATGAAACTGGACCCCTATCTTTTACCATATACAAAAATTAACTCAATATTGGTTAAAGATTTAAACGTAAAACCTCAAACTATAAGAATCCTAGAAGAAAATCTAAGAAACACCATTCTTGACATTGGCACTGGAAAAAATTATATGACTAAGTCCTCGATAGCAATTGAACAAAACCAAAAATCGACAAGTGAGACCTAATTACACTAAAGAGAATCTGTACAGCAAAAGAAACTATCAACAGGGTAAACCTACAGAATGGGATAAAATATTCATAAACTATCTGACAAAGGTCTAATATCCAAAGTGTATAAGAAAGTTAAACAATTGAACAAGCTAAACACAAGTAACCCAATAAAAAATGAGCAAATGACATGAACAGACATTTCTCAAAAGAAGACATACAAGCAGCCACCAAATATGAAAAATGCTGCACATCACTAATCTTCAGGGAAATGTAAATCAAAACCACAATGAGATATCATCTCATACCAGTCAGAATGGCTGCCATTAAAATGTCAAACAATAATCGGTCTAATAGTACAATAACATGTTGACAAGGCTGCAGAGAAAAGGGGATGCTTGTAACACTGTTGGTGGGAATGTACATTAATTCAGCCACTATGGAAACCAATTCTGAGATTTTTCAAAGAACTTAAAATAAAGCTACCATTTGACCCAGCAATCACATTACTGAGTGTGTACCCAAAAGAAAACAAATTGTTCTATAAAGTAGACACAGGCACTTGCATGTTCATTGCAGAACTATTCACAACAGCAAAGACATGGATAGACCGGATTAAGAAAATGTGGTGTATATATATATATGCCATGGAATACTATGCAGTCGTAAAAAGAACAAAATCCGGTCCTTTGCAGCAACATGGATGCAGCTGGAGGCCATTATCCGGAGTGAATTAACACAGGAACAGAAAACCAAATACTGCTTGCTCTTGCTTATAAGTAGGAGCTAATCAATTGGTACTCATGGACATAAATATGGTAACTATAGAAACTGGAAACTACTAGAGGAGGGGAGGGGTTAAAAAGGGTGGAAAAATTAACTGTTGGGTACCATGCTCAGTACCTGATCATGGGATCATTTGTATGCCAAACCTCAGCATCATGGCCATATACCCAGGTAACAAACCTGCACAAGTACCTTCTTGAATTTAAAATAAAAGTTGAAAAAAATAAAAAAGAAATGGAATAATGAAGGGAAAATCCAGTAGATTTAGCCATATAAAGTAGCAAAGATAGAAATAAAATGGAGTATTTATAACATGTGACAAAGCTCATATTCTTAATATAAAAAAAAATTAAAAGACTAAAACACAAAAAATTGGGTAAAGGTACAATTAACCTGAGAGGGCTACAAATTATTAATGTATATGAACATAGGCCACCTTGTAATAATCAATGTAACAGAGACAAAACTTAAAAAAGGGCAATTTTAAATTTATGAAAAATTAGTATTGTCAGTGAAAGTGAGGTGAGATAAGCATCTTTATACACTGGTGGCTAGTATGTAAACAGACAGTCTTTGCAAAACAATCTGGCAATAGATAGCAAGATAATTTTTAAAGTTCGGTAGTTGCTCTCCTAGAAATTTCCTTAAAAAATAAAAATATACGCTGGGTACAGTGGCTCACGCCTGTAATCCTAGCACTTTGGGAGGCCGAGACTGGCAGATTGCCTGAGCTCAAGAATTCGAAACCAGCCCTGGCAACACAGCGAAACCCCGTCCCTACCAAAAGCACACAAAAATAGCTGGGCATGGTGGCGGGCGCTGTAATCCCAGCTACTCAGGAGGCTGAGGCACAAGAATTGGTTGAACCCGGGAGGTGGAGCTTGCAGTAAGCCGAGACTGCACCACTGCACTCCAGCCCAGGTGACAGGGCAAGACTCCGTCTCAAAAATACATACATAAATACATACATACATACATAAAAATATAGAAGCCATCTTCTACACAAGGATATTTTCAGAAGTATATACATTGAGAAAAATGTGAAAACGGCCTTCCAACCAGGTTGAAGAAAAATTAGATTTTTACCTCACAATATAATACGATAAATTTCAGATTTTTTAGTATTTTAAATTTCAAATTTTTTATATTTTTTAGTTAACTACTAGTTAAGAACCAGAATATATGAGTGAAAAGTCAACAGGACTGAACTTACCCAACTGCCCTAAACATTTGATGGGCATATCTAAAACAGAAGATGAAAACTGAGCAAATATATAAAAGAACTCTCATTAGATACTGGACAAGAGGAAGTGCATGACGATGGTACCTGTTACAACAGAAACAAATGAGGTGAGCCATATGATTATCCACCTTTTGTCTGGGGGCACTTTCTGACACATTATTGAGGAAGAAAAATCACAAACCTAATTCAAGGGTTTCACTGCTGAAAAGATAAACATCAGATTTTGAGGATGATGAGGTAGATGGCATTTGCAGGACAGAACACTAATGAGGAGGAAGCTATACAGAATCTGCACAGTTGAGTCTGCAGTTGAATACTAAGCAATGCATGTGTAGGGTTTAACTTTATGAGGACAAGCAGAGAAGGAAAGGAAAGCTGTAAATATGTAGTAGCTCTTAGAGCTCACGCAGAGCTGAGAGACATTCAATTTTTAGGCAGTCAGAGAAGAGTCATTACTGAACTCTCAGGCATTCAGTAGATATCTCAAGAGTCAGAGTGAAACCTGAACTTACACGAACAAAGCTAACATCAATACTGAAATATCAATCATATTTGTAAATACTGCCTTCCAGAATAAAAACTAACACTCTGACAGAAGAAAACAAAATCCAGTAACTCACGTAAAACTCAAATTATCTAATCAATGGAAGAGAATCAAAAGCCAAAAATAAATCCATGCCTATATGGTCAACAAACATTTGACAAGGGTACTGAAAATACATAAGGGAGAAAGAACAATCTCTTCAATAAATAGTGCTAGGAAAACTGGATATACACATGCAAAAGAATGTAATGGAGTCTTATCTTTCATCATATCAAAAAACCAACTCAAAATGGATTAAAAACTTAAACGTAAGACCTGAAACTATAAAACTCCTAGAAGAAAACATACCAAAAAAACCTCCTTGATATTGGTCTTGGCAAGTATTTCTTGGATATGACACCAAAAGCACAAGCAACAAAGGCAGAGATAAATAGGTGGGACTACTATTTATCTCTTTGCTTATGTGAAGCAAAGAAAACAATCAACAGAGTCAAAAACCTATGGAATGGGAGAAAATACTTGCAAATAATATATCTGATAAGAGGTCAATATCCCAAATATATACAAAACTCGGCTGGGCACAGTGGCTCACGCCTGCAATCCCAGCACTTTGAGAGGCTGAGGAGGATGGATCATGAGGTCAGGAATTTGAGACCAGCCTGACCAACATGGTGAAACCCCGTCTCTACTAAAAATACAAAAATCAGCCAGGCGTGGTGGCAGGCACCTGTAATCCCAGCTACTCGGAAAGCTGAGGCAGGAGAATCGCTTGAACCCGGGAGGCAGAGGTTGCAGTGAGCCGAGATTGTGCCACTGCACTCCAACCTAGGCAACACGAGCAAAACTCCATCTCAAAAAAAAAAAAAAAAAAGAAAAAAAAAGAAAAAAGAAAAAAAATCTGATCAAAAAATAGGGAAAGGACCTGAATATACTTTTCAAAGAAAATATACACGTGGCCAGCAGATACATGAAAAGGTGCTCAAGATAGATCACTAGTCAACAGAGAAATGCAAATCAAAACCACAATGAGATATTACCACACACCTGTTAGGATGGCTATTATAAAAAAGATGAGATAGCAAGTGCTGGTGAGGATGTGGAGAAAAGGGAACCCTTGTGCACTGTTGGTGGGAATGTAAATTGGTATAGCCATTATGGAAAACAGTATGGAGGCTCCATAAGAAACGAAAAATAGAACTATCACATAATCCTGCAATCTCACTTCTAGGTATATATATCTATCTGAAGGAAATGACATCAATATTTCAAATAGATATCTGTACTCCCACATACACTGTAGCATTATTCACTGTAATTAAGGCAGGACTGCAGGTATCTCTATTCCAAGAATGGAAACACTCTATATATATAGATTTCTTGGATATGAAGAAGCAACATCTATCAGCAGATAAATGGATAATGAAAATGTGGTATATTTATACAATGGAATATTATTCAGCCATAAAAAGAAGGAAGTCCTACCATTTGTGACAACATGGATGAACCTCAAGGGCATTATGTTAAGTAAAATAAGTCAGGGATGACAAATACTGTATGATCCACTTATATGGGGAATCTAAAAGAATCAAACTCACAGAAACAGAAAGTAGAATGATGGTTGCCAGGAGCTGGGGTAGGGAGGTAAGTAAAATGGGGAGATACTTGTCAAATGGTACAAACTTCCAGTTACGGGTAAGTTCTGGGGATTTAATGTACAGCATCATGACTATAGTTAATGATACTGTACTGTATATTTAAAATTTGCTAAGAGAGTAGGTCTTAGGTATTCTCATCACACACAGACAAAGGTAACTGATAGGTGACAGACGTATTCACTAATTCAATTGTGGCAATCCTTTCACAATACATACACGTATCAAATCACTACACTGTATACCTAAAATTTATACAATTTTATTTGTTCATTATACCTCAATAAAGCCAAGAAGAAATAAATTAAAAAAAGAAACCCCCAAGAACAAATGATTTAGCATCCAATCAACGTTTACTAAACATGACAAGATGCAAGAAAATATGACCTATAACCAAGAGAAAAATCAGTCATTAGAAACATACCTAAAAATCAGAGATGATGGAATTAATAGATACTGACTTCAAAATAGTACATGAACATAAAGAAGAGATAAAGGGAAATAGAAACAAATGAGACTGTAGAGATAAAACAAACAACATCTAAAATAAAAAATTCACTAGATGGAATTAACAGATTCGACACTGAAAGAGAAAGGACTTCTGAATGTGAAATCATAGCTAAAGAATCGATATAAATTACAACTGGGAAAAAAAAGCCTCAGTGACCTGTTGGACAGTATCAATGAATCTAACACATGTGTAATATAAATTACTGAAAGGAGAAAGACATTTGAAAAAGAATGGCTGAAATTTTCTAAAATTGGATAAATAACTAAATGCACAGATCTACAGTTGCCCAGGAGAAAAGGGAAATGAATAAGGTGATAGTTATGATTACTCCAGCTGGATACCTAGAAACAATGTCCAGGCTGTAACACAGGGAGAGGAAAACAAAACAAAACAAAAAGAGCCTACGAGGATCCTTGATTTAATGATACTGAGTTCAGAGACTGGGGAGACCAAGGTATCTAGAATTCATGAGACAGGTAACTAGACAGAAGACAGTACCAAAGACAGAGCTCGAGAGATCTACAATGGATTGCCTCGGAGTCTCATTGAGCAGCACCTGTATGTGGGGAAAAGCTACGGAAAGAGCCACTGAAAAGGACCAGATGAAACAATCACCAGGCTAACAGAAAGGCAAAAATATTTCATGTTCTCACATGGCAAAATAGAAAGATCTCCTAAAAACTATGGCATCTAACAGAGTTTTAAAAAAATACTGCCTCAATAGTGC
The DNA here is from genome assembly GCF_000001405.40 of Homo sapiens. Lineage (NCBI taxonomy): Eukaryota > Metazoa > Chordata > Mammalia > Primates > Hominidae > Homo > Homo sapiens. The sequence goes on from NC_000001.11 coordinate 243,591,344, forward strand.
AGCCGTGTTAGTGCTAGAGCAAAGGATATTCCAGACCAGTCTTACTAAGCTTAAAAGCAAGCACTGATAGGATCATACTGTTTATACATAAGAATAATGCCTAAATATATTTTTTAATCCCCAAACTTCCAGCATCTGACAATGTAAAATTCAATGTCTGGCATCCAATAAAAAATTAACGGACATAAAAAGAAACAGGAAAATAATAACCTATAATCAGGAGACTAATCAATGAATAGAAACAGACTGAGAAAATGACACATAAGATATAATTACACGAATACCATAATAAATTAGCCGTTGAAAATATAAAAAATAGCTGTTGAAAATATAAAAGTTCAAAAGGTAGAGGGAAGCACATAAGATGAAGATGAAAAAAAAAGTCCCAAATCAAACTTCAAGAGATGAAAATGTCTGAAATAAAAAATATACTAGATGTTACTAGACACTGGAGAAGAAAGTATTAGTAAACTTAAAGACACAGGGGGAAAAACCCAAAATTAAAGACAGAGAAAAGACTGAAAAAAAGAAGAGAACATTAGTAAACAGTGGGATAACATCAAGATGTCTAACATGTAAATAAGTAGATTCTCAGGATGGAACAAGAGAAATGAGTAACAAAATACTTACAGAACAATATTCAAAAATTTTCCAAATTGAATGAAAACTATATGCTTATAGATCCACAAGGCTTAAAACACCCTAAGCCTGGCCAGGCACGGTAGCTCACACGTGTAATCCCAGCACTTTGGGAGGCCAAGCTGGGCGGATCACGAGGTCAGGAGATCGAGACCATCCTGGCTAACATGGTGAAACCCCGTCGCTACTAAAAATACAAAAAATTAGCTGGGCTTGGTGGCAGGAGCCTGTAGTCCCAGCTACTCTGGAGGCTGAGGCAGGAGAATGGCGTGAACCCAGGAGGCGGAGCTTGCAGTGAGCCCAGATCACGTCACTGCACTCCAGCCTGGGCGACAGAGCGAGACTCCGTCTCAAAAAAAAAAAAGACAAAAAACAAACAAACAAACAAAAAACCCTAAGCCAAAGAACTGTGAAGGAAACCATACCAAGGCACATCATAATCAATAGCTGAAAGGAAGTAATAAACAGAAAAGCTTAACAGCGACCACAGAAAAAAAGACACATGAAGCACAGAGGAACAAAGCAGACTTCTTGACAGAAACTGTATAAGCCAGAAGAAAGTACAGTGACATTTTTATAGTAATGAAATGTAAAAATGGCAAATTAGAATTTCATACATAGCTAAATATCTTTCCAAAAATGAGAGGAAAATAAAGCCATTATCAGACATGTAGGTTAGAGAACTCACCACCAGAGACACTGAACTAGAAATTGTTCAAGAAAATGTTTCAGAATGAAGGAAAATGACACCACATGGAAAACAGGATCTACCCACAGGACAGAAAATATTGGAAATAGTAACTGTGTCAGGGAACAGAAATTAATTTTTCTTCTGTTTTAAATTTCCTTAAAAGATAATCACTGGTTTAAAACAAAAATAATAATGCATAGTGGCATTTATAACACATACAAATGTAAAATGTATTGTAACAACAGTACAAAGGCTTGAAGGAGGAAATAAAAGTATACCAGTGAAAGGATCTTAGGATGTATGTGAAATGGTATAATCTAAGCGGAACACAAAATGGGAAAAAAAGTTAAATACGAGTTTATAGTTAACCGTCATCCCACAATAAAAACTGGAGCTCCCAAAAGTTACTGATGAATTCCACCACCCCTTTAAAGAAGAAATAATTACAATTTTATAGAAACACTCCCAGAAAATACGAGAACAGTTGTTAACACGTTGCATGAGGCCAGCATTGCCACAATACAAAACCAGACAGAACTATTACATGAAAAGATGAGTACAGATCAATATCCCTCAAAATCATAGATGTAAAAACTTAACAAAACTTCTCTAATTCAATTCCAACAACATATAAGGATGATAATACATTATGACTAAAAGATGGTTAATCTCAAGAATGAAGACTGGCTTAACATTTGAATGTCAATGTAATTTATCAAATGTACAAACTAAAAAGAAAGCCGGGCACAGTGTCTGTAATCCCAGCACTTTGGGAGGCCTAGGTGCGTGGATCACTTGAGGGTAAGAGTTCGAGAGCAATCTAGCTAACATAGTGAAACCCCAACTCTAATAAAAATACAAAAATTAGCTGGGTGCAGTGGTGGGCACCTGTAGTCCCAGCTGCTTGGGAGGCTGAGGCAGGAGAATCACTTAAACCTGGGAATAAACCTGGAAGCTGCAGTGAGCTGAGATCACGCCACTGCACTTCTGCCTAGGCGACAGAGTGAGACTCCGTGTCTAAATAAACAACCATATGATCACCTCAATGGAGGCACAAAAACCTTTAAAGAAAAGTCAATGTCCACTGATGGTAAAATATTCTAGGAATAGGAGAGAACTTAACCTAATAAAAGGTATATATGAAAAACTTATGACTAACATCACACTTAATAATAAAAGACTTAATCTTTTCCGAGACAGGGAACAAAAACACAATGTTCGCTACTTTTGTTCAACACTGCACTAGCAGTCACAGGCAGTGAAAGATGCATAGACAGATAGACAATTAAACAGACAAATATATACATGCCATACAAACAAGAATGGAAGTAAAACTGCTATTATTTACAAAGAGCAAGACTATCTACATAGACATTTCAAAGAAATTTAGAAAAAGGGTTTCTAGAACTAATAAGTGAGCTTAGGAAGGCCATGGAATACAAGGTTAATATATAAAAACCAACTATATTCTTATATGCTAACAGCAAACAATTGTAAATGGGAAAAAATTGGAATAGGTAAAGAAAAATTGAAAAATTATACAAACCTATACACTAAAACTACAGTGTTTCAATAGACATTAGAGAAATCCATAAGCAAACAGAGTGTGTGTCCATGGATTAGAAGACTCAATATTCTTAAATAGATTTATGGATTAAATGCAATCATAATCAAAGTTACAGCAGACTTTTTTGTAAAAATTGACATGATAATAAATTTATATGAAAATGCAGAGGACACAGAAGAGTCAAAACAATTCTGAAAAAAGAACAAAGTTTTTCTCTATTTCAAAATATACTCCCAAAGCAACAATTATCAAGTTAGCGTGGTACTGATGTAAAGAGAAACTCAAAGATCAATTAAACAGAATAAGACAGTGCAGAAACAGACCCATATGTGTGACAAACTGATTTTCAACAGAGGTACCCAAGTCACACAATCAGAGACAGGGTCTTGCTGTGTTGTCCAGTCTGCAATGCAGTGGTATGAACATGGATCACTGCAGCATCAACCTCTTGGGCTCAAGCAATGCTCCCAATTCTGCCTTGCACCACCAGTCCAGGCTAATTTTTTAAATTTTTTATTTTGTAGAGACAGGGTCCTGCTGTGTTGCCCAGGCTGGTCTCGAACTCCTGGACATAAGTGGTCTTCCTGCCTCAGCCTCCCAAAGTGCTGGGATTACAGGTATAAGCCCCCATGTCTGACTAAAGGACAGCCCTTTCAATGAAAGATAGTGAAAGAACAAGATGTCTGTAGGGGGAAAAAAATGAACCTCAACTCTTAGCTCACAGCATACATAAAAATTAAAATGGATCACAGACCTATACATGTAATAGGTACAACTTAAAAAGTTTTAGAAGAAAATACAGTCATGCACTGCTTAATGATGGGGATACATTCTGAGAAATGTGCAATTAGACAATTTCATCATTGTGACAACATCCTAGGGTTTACTTACATAAACCTAAATGGCATAGCCTACTACTTCTAGGTACAGACCTGTACAGCATGTTACCCTACTGAATACTCTAGGCAGGTGTAACACAATGATATTTGCACATCTAAACACATCTAGAAAAGTACAGTAAAAATATGATATAGAAGATTTAAAAACGATATACCTGTCTATTGCATTTATAATACCATGAATGAAACTTGTAGGACTGGAAGCTGCTTTGAGTGAGTGAGTGGCGAGTGAATATGAAGGCCTAGGTGATTACTGTAGACTATGAACACTGTATAATGTATAAAATAATTAAAATTATTTTTTTCTTCAGTAATGAGTTAACCTTTGCTTTCTATAACTTTTTCACTTTATACACTTTAAAATTTTTAAAAACGCCTTGACTCTTTTATAACAGTTTAAAATATGAACACATTGTACAGCTATACAAAAATATTGTTTCTTTACATCTTTATAAATATTTTTCTATTTTTTTTAACGTCTTTAACTTTTGGTTAAAAATGAAAACACAGCATATACGTTAGCCTAAACCTACACAGTCAGGATCATCAGTATCACTGTCTTCCACCTCCACATCCTGTCCCACTGTAAGGTCTTTCGGAGCAGGCATCGAGTAGTCATCTCCTACGCTAACAATGCCTTCTTTTGGAATATCACCTGAAGGACCCACCTGATGCTGTTTTACAGTTACCTATTTTTTTTTAAATAAGTGAAAGTAATACACTTTAAGAAACAATGAAAAGTACAATATATAAAATAAAGAAGTAACACAGTCATGTACTATCACAATCAAGTATTATGTATCTAACTGCATGTGCTATGTTTCTACACAACCGGCAGCACAGGTTTGCTTACACCAGCATCACCAAAACATGTGAGTAATGCACTGCAGTATGACTTACAACATTTACATCACTAGGCAATATGAATTTTTCAGCTACATTATAATCTTATGGTATTGTCATATACATGGCCCACTGTTGACAGAAACTTATTATATAGCACGTGACACATAACAAATAGGAGAAAGATGTGTGACCTGGGGTACACAAACATTTCTTGGACAGTACACAAAAAAAGTGAAAACCATAAAAGGCAAGAATTGATAAATAAGACATCAAAATTAAAAACGTCTGTTCCTCAAAAGACATCACTGAGAAAATGAAAAGGCAAGCTACAGTCTGGAAGAAACCATTTGTAATACAAATATTTGGCAAACTATTTGTAACCAGAACATCCAAAGAACTCCTATAATTCAGTAAGAAGATGAACAACCGAATAATAGGTGAAATATTTGAATAGACAGGTCACAAAAGTATATGCAATGGCAAAAAGTCTGAGTGAAGACATTTCCTATCATTAGTCATAAGAGAAACGCAACTTAAAACCACAGTAACATACTCCCACACACTCGTTAGAATGACTAAAATGAAAACCACTGACCACAGCAAGCACTGGTGAGGGTGCAGAACACCTAAAATTCTCATTACATTAATGCTGAGACTGTAAAATGACACAACAGTTTTAAATTTTTGTAAAATGTAAGCATATGCTTACCATAAATCCAACAATCATACTCTTCAGTATTAATTAAAGAGAAAAGAAACAGGCCTATCAGCTTTATTCATATTAGGCAATGACTGGTATTAATCCGCATGTACGTCACCAGTGGGAGAGATTAACAAATGGTGGTATAGCTGTGCAAAGGATAATGACTTCACAATAAAAGAAATAAATGACTGAGAAATGCAACAAAGTTAACAATCTCAAAAAACATTACGCAGAATGAAAGAAGTAGATACAAGACAGTATATATTGTATGAGTTCATTTCTGTGACATTTTTAAAAAGATGAATCAAATCTTTAGTGTCTGAAAGCAGACCAATGGCTACCTAGGGCCACGTGTGGATGTACTATGGGTACAGGGAAGACTGACTGCAAAGAGGCATGGCAGAACTTTTTGAGGCAATGAGAATGTTTTATATTTTTATTGTGATGGGGGCTACATGCATATATATGTTTGTCAGAAGTCATCTAATCATATACTTAAAATGAGTTCATTTCATTATATGTAAATTATACTTAAGTTGACTAAAAAATGAAAACAACCTAAACGTTCAATGATTTGGGAAGGTTTTAATAAGTTAAAGTGTATCTACATAATTAGTAGGCAACAAGTAACATATTTTAAAATGATAAAATTGAAAATATGTGTACAGTATAAACAGTGGAAAATATATTAACACGGTATTAGCAATTATTTCTAGATGGTAAGATTTAGAGTGGTTTTTATCTTCTGTTTCATACCTCAAAAAATACTTGTAATTATTTAATATCCATTCCCCAGAATACTATGCATTTTTGTTTTGTTTTGTTTTGTTTTGGTGACAGGGTCTCACTCTGTTGCCAAGGCTGAAGTGCAGTCGCATGATGGCTCACTGCAGCCTCAACCTCTTGGGCTCACTCAATCTTCCCACTTCAGTCTCTCGAGTAGCTGGGAGCACAGGCACTGGCTACCACACCTGGCTAATTTTTAACTATTTTGGTAGATACAGGGTCTCCCTATGTTGCTCAGGCTGGTCTTGAACTCTTGGGTTCAAGTGATCCTCCTGCCTTGGCCTCCCAAAGTGCTGGGCATGAGCCACTGGGCCTGGCCTATGCCCTTCTTAAATGCAGAGACCATCTGTCTTGCTCATGTAGTATACTAAGCACATAGTACAGTGCCTGCCTTGAAGAAAGCAGCATTCAATAAGAACTTTTTTGACAGAATTAAAATAATTTTTTTGGCTTTTTGAAGTTCTCTGTAATGAATGTACATTATCACTTTTGCAATAGAAAAAAATTATTCAAAGGTTTCAAATAAATGTACTAATAATTAATGTACTGATTTATGCTTATTATAAATTTAATGCTCTATTTTTTTCTTGGCAAAGGCATAGGAAAATGAGAAAATTATGACAGTACACCATATCTTTGCATCTTCAGCACCATGCCTAGTATATGACACATATTATATTCTTCATAAATATGTATTGCAAAAAATAAAATTAAATTCAGAAATACCTCTCAAAAAATTATAAGAAAAATCATCCTTAAGGTTTTTGAGGTAAAATATTTTCATTGGAAGTATTAAAAATCATATATAATAGTTGAATAATCTTATCTTTGTTCAAAAAGGAAAGTGAATTATTTGCTGCTAAAATAGGGAGCTTATCTTTATCAAGTTAAGTTCCTTTATAAAGGCAAAGACTACATAGTTTTTTTTTATTGTTAAGCTTAGCCATGCTATAGGAATACAGTAATGTAAAATGCATTAACTCAAACTACTAAATATACAAGCATATTTCATCATTCTATTAGGAAGAAATTTTCTCCATAACTCTCTCTCATAATAGCCTAACAGGAACTGCACTAGAGTGTAGCTGTACTCCCACGGTTTAGTAAGTGAACAGGTATTCAGCCCATCCTTGCAAAAAGATGACTGCATCTACAGCCGTGCCCTAAAGTCTCATGCTCAACAGGCTTCTCTCATCAGAGCACAGGAAGTTCCTTCCCACATACCCTTCAAATGTCAACCTAACACTACTTCCTCAAAGAGATAACTAAATTTATAGTAGGTTCTCCATCATTCTCTCTCATACTACAGCACTCTGTTGCCATTATATTTATTGGGTTTATTTTGTTTTATTATTTTATAATATGCATCTCCTTCTAGAAATCATGACTGTTTTATTCATCCTAGCGAACGCAGTAAGCATTTAATACATACTTTTGATTGAATGAGCTAATCTTATTTGGGGAACATACCTGTTCTTGAAGATTTAGTTCAAATGCACCTTTCCTCCTAAAATCTCCTGTATAGGAGAACATTTGTGGGGATGTTATTTTTATCGTGGTGATGATTTCATGGGTCAAAAGTTATCAGATTGTACACTTTAAATATGTACAAATTATTTATAATTTGTTATTAACTCAGCAAAACTGTTTTAAAGAAAGGGAAACATCTTAAGACAAAATGCAGATTTTCTCACACAAATAAAAGCTAACAAAAGTTACGGCTATCAGACCTGCACTACAAAAACAAATGCTAAAGGAAGTTTTTATGCAAAAGGAAAATGTAATAGATGAAAATGTATACCAACACAAAGGAAAAGAGAACACTTAAAATGACTACTTTATGAATATAAAACATTTTTTCTATTAAAAATTATTTTAAAGATAATTGCTTAAGGCAAAAACAGTGTATTGTAAAGGTTAAAAAATACATGGAAGTAAAATGTCTGAGAACAACTGCACAAAAGACAGAAGGCAGGGAAACAGATGTATGCCTTTTAAGGTTCAGATAGAAGGTAAGAAAATAGACGTATGCTGTTATAAGGTTCTTACAGTACAGGTAAAGTGACACAGCATATTGTTTGAAAGTCTACCGTGATGAGAAAAGATACATATTCTAAACCCTAAAGCTACCACCATAAGAACAAAGAAGCAGAGCTAATCAAACTAAGATTATTTAAACTCATCAAATTACTAATAGAAATTCTTCAACTTTTAATAAAGAGCATCTACGAAAAATCTACAGCTAACAACATGGTTAATGGTGACAGTATGAATGCTTCTGCCCTAAAATTAGGTATAAAGCAAGGATATTTGCTCTTATCCTGCTCTTTAACACTGTTCTAAACATCCTGGATAGTTTAATAAGGCAAGGAAATGTACACATATTAGAAAATAGCAGTAAAACTGTCTTTGTTCTCACCTGACATGATCATCTACATAGAGAAATCCAATATATTTACAATAAAAGACTACTAAAACTAATATTAGTATGGCTAATAAGTAAACATCAACTGTATGTCTATATATTAGCAAGAATCAACTACAAATTGAAATTTTTAATAATGACTGATAAACCATTTATAACTTAAAAACATAAAATAATTATAAAGTATCCCTAAGGATAAATTTTTAAAACTTTCAAGACCTGTACACTAAAAACTACATAATATTGTTGAAAGAAATTAAAGACTTAAATAATGGGAAAACATATACCATATTTATGAATCAGAAGACAACACTGTGAAACTGTCAATTCTCCCCAAATTGATCAACAGATTTAACACAATCACAATTAAAATCCAGGAGGCTTTTATGTAGAATTCAACAAGCTTACTCTATAATTTATGTGGAAATGCAAAGGAAATTGGATAGCAAAACCAAATTTAAAAAGAATATCAAAATTGAAAGATTCAAGCTGCCTGATTTTAACACTTATTCTAAAGTAAGTGTGTGGCATAGTGAAGACAGTGTGGTATAGGTTTCAGGATAGATATAGACCAATACAACAGAATGCAGAGTCCAGAAATCGACCCACACATATATGACTGATTTTTGACAAGGGTACCAAATCATTCAATGGGAGAAAGACAGTCTTTTCAACAAATATGCTGGAACAGTTAGATATCACTTTGCAAGAAACAAATGAAACATGACCCTTATGTAGCAGTATACATTAAAATTAACTTGAAATGGCTCATAGACCTAAATGCAAGAGCTAAAACTATTAACACTTCTAGAAGAAAGCATAAAAGAAAATCTCCCCGACCTGCCACCACCCAACAGGTCTAGCTTTGACTTTAGAAAAAAATCTTAACAAACTTCAGTTAGAAAAAGATGTTTTAAAAACAAAATGTACAAATCATAAGAGAAAATAATCAATGAATTGTGTTTCCTCTAATTTAGAAGTCTGCCCTTCATACTGGTTGGAAAGCCTATCAGTGGTTTTCAGGGTGAGAGTGAGGGGAGAGAATTGACTTTAAAGAGACATGCGAGGCTCTGTTGTGAAAGAAACATTCTAGATCATGATTGTGGTGATGGGAAACTGCTTTATACAGCTGTCAAAACTCACTAAATTGTACAGTCAAAATTGATTAATTTTACTGAATGCTAACTATGCATTAAAATGCTGATTACAATAGATTACAACAAAAGTGTATTTTGGAACAATTTCCCATTATGAAATGAAAAGACAAACTATAAAATGGGAGAAAATATTTATAAAATATATATATGATAAAGCCCTTACATGAAATAAATAAATCTGACAACTCAATATTAAGACAACAACCTAATTTTTAAAACAGACAAAAGATTTTAAGATACTTCAAAAAAGATGATGTATAAATGGCAAATCAGAATAAGAAAAGAAGTTCAATATCATTAGTTATTTGAGAAATTCAAATTGAAGCTAAAAAATACCACTATACATCCACCAGAATGAGTAAAATTTAAAAAGACTACCATGCCAAGTGTGGTGATGTTGTCAAGTAACATCCTGGGAATGCAAAATGGTATGGCTGATTTTGAAAAGAGTCTGCAGTTTTTAATGAAGTTGATCATAACAAATGACACAGAAATTGCATTTCTATGTATTTACCCAAGAAGATTAAAAATATATATTCACACACAGATTTGTACTGGAATATTCACGAGCTTTTATTCTAATAGGCCCAAAATGTAAAGAACCCAAACGTCTATCCAGGGGCAACTATATAAACATATGACTGTACATCACACAACGGAGCAAAGCCATAAAAAGAAACAAACTACTGATATATGGAACAGTATCTATAAATTTTAAAAGTATTATGCTAAGTGAAAAATGGAGAACACAAAAGCCTGTAAGTATGTTTTCAGATTATAGTTTTTGATATTTAAATACTGTTTTGTGTCACTGCCCTCTTTTTCCTCCTCAGGGTTTCCAATTATACATATGTTGCTTCTTCTGTTTTCCCTCCCTTGAAATACCCACTCTGTGGTAAGCCAGCCTTTGTGTAAGAAGTTTGACTACCTTGAAATGGCCATGCTCTGCCATAACCACATGGAAAGGAATCATGTAAATACCCAGATGCCTGGCAGGCCCCTGCAGTTCCAGCCACTTGATCTGAGATTTTAGATTTGTAAGCAAGCATGTTACATGTTGAGGCTTGTAATAACATCTCCTAATAACTAAATTCAATGCATTCAATTACATTTAATGCAGTGAGATACTGGTTTAACCATTCATTTTTTAAAAATGTCTTTGAATTATGAAATTATATACTAAAAATGCTTCCCGACTTTACATTGCCTTTAGATGCTAATGTAAACATTGTAATGCATCCTTCTTGACTTGGGAATTTTGAAAAAGCATTGGGTGAAAAACAAAATTCTGATACAACCTACATAATATATTAATAACTAAAATAGTTAGCAAAGAAATTAGCTTGTCAGACACCTGACAATAAAGATGTTTATATACCTGAAAACTTTGTAAAATTTTAAAAATCATCACTATGAATATGAAATGATAATTAAATTAATTTAAAAATCACCCAGATCACACCTCCGTAAATTAGTAAGGAGAACTAGAATACTGACTACTGGTGCTTTTGTCTTATGTGAATTTAAAATGAGATAATTTTGGTTCACTGATAACAAAATGCCAGCCAAATGAGAAATCTGAATAAGCATGAGAATCTCAAGAATGGCAAGAACCTGAAAGCCGTATTGCAAAAAAATCAAATACATGTTATCAAAGAAATTAATATAGAGTTTACAATGAACTAAGTATGGACAAAAATAGTAGTACATAACTGAAACTGTTAGCTTCATTACAACCTACATAAAGAAAATAGAGGAATGTGAAGAATTTATCAGATGAATAGCATTTCTACACAATGATTTTCCTTTACTCCCCTAATGAATCTTTAACTTCAGGAAACTTCAGACTTGAGAGAGATTTGCAGAGGTCCAACAAATAAGCCTGAAATAAATGAAGCTATGAGTAAGATTTTGGAAACAAGTCCTAAGTAGAGACTTCCTAAACCAAAGAAAACAAAAACACCTCCTTAGTCAATTTTGTCTACTTTATTCTCCCAGGATATTTTTCTGCTTCTCATGTAAATTTAGTAACATTTAAGGAATAAAAAGAGAGCTGCCTGGATATATTAGCAGTGTGATTGGTCATATTATTAGAGAGATTTTACAATCAGTTCTACAAATGCCCCACTGAAATTGCACTGAACTCACTCTTACAACCTTGTTCTACTGGGCTCCAAACCAACCCTTTTACATTCTGTACTACAGCCAAGGTGCATACCTTGTACCAAACCAGAAAAGGAAGAATCCCTGGTAGTCTCCATAGGAACTATTAGATGGCAAATCCAATGGACAATTCTCAGTTATCATTGTACAGTATTTAATATACTCTGTTGTACCTAATCTCTCCTTAACTTCTAAGGCTTCTCTTGTCTGGCTCCTCCTGCCCAGGATCCTCCTTAGGCTTCTCTCTGCCTCTACACCTGTGCACTAGTCTCACTGCATCTACAGCTGTGTCTACAGCATGCCTTACTCTGGCATTTCCAGGCACCATCCTTGGCCACTGATGTTCTAACTGTACATACTTTCCTCACATTGGATATTTCCTCACTTCCTGGGTTTTAACACTGCTCATGATGCCTATTTGTATCTCTGATTTAACTCTCCCCACTCCTTGGCTGCCACACTAGGTGCCTCAAATATAGCATGATCTGCTTAAGAACTCATTCTTCTCCCTGTGTTTTCTATTTTTATAAATACTCCAGTATCCACAATTCCCCAAGCAGCAAACAGGAAATCATATGATACTTCTCTGCATATTTATTCATTAAATCCTGGTGATTCTAATAACTAAATATTACTAGAATTTGCTTCCTTCTAACACTGCTTCAATTAATAATCTTTTTTTTTTTTTTTTTTGAGATGGAGTTTTGCTCTTGTTGCCCAGGCTGGAGCACAATGGTGCAATCTAGGCTCACTGCAATCTCCACCTCCCAGGTTCAAGCAATTCTCCTGCCTCAGCCTCCCAAGTAGCTGGGATTACAGGCATGCGCCACCAGGCCTGGCTAATTTTGTATTTTTAGTACAGACGGGGTTTCTCCATGTTGGTCAGGCTGGTCTCAAACTCCTGGCCTCAGGTGATCCACCCACCTCAGCCTCCCATAGTGCTGAGATTCCAAGCATGAGCCACCACATCCGACAACCTTATCATTTTTATAAGTGAATTACTGAAAACCTTCTAACTGCAGCAACCTCCCAAGTATTTTCCTTGCTTCCACTTTTGTCCTCTCTACTTCAACCTCTATACTGCCAAGTATTCTTTCTAAACATTTCCCCCAAAGAAATTCTTCCATGATGCTCCACTGCCTTCATCTAAATGACTTGAGAGTGAAGATCTGTCTTAATGTGATTCTGACTACCTGTGCAGACTCTCTGGCTTTCCTCTGCAGAACTCTATGCATTATCCACACTGTGCTATATTCGGTGGGTGGGGGAACCTGTCTGCTCCTGTGTACTCTACACATGCCATTTTACCTGTGTAGGAATGCTCTCCTTCCCAACCTTAGTGATATAATGTATAGTTATTCTTACGTCTTAGCCTAGCAACCACTTTTTAAGAAGAGTTTCCTACTCTGGCACCCTTTGCTTTCCTTTCCTCTGCTCCTCAGGTTCATTAAAGTGCTCATTCTCTCCATGCACAGTAACCAGTATTATCAGAGCAACCATGTCACTGCAGTGTATACAAGTATTTTCTCATCTATCTCCCCAGTAAGTCACTCATCAAAGGAAAAATAGTATGTTTTCCTTATTTATGAATCTTCTGAGGTCTAGCCCACAGAAGTTGCTCATTATTTAATAGATGAATGATAATGTACTAGATTATAAAGTTAATCCATAAGGTATCAAAAATAATCAAATCACTCCCAAACATTCCTTAGAACGGTATTACACTGGAGACCAACATACTGTCATCTCTCGACATAGTTAAACCCAGGACAGTTTTCTATCTTTGGTACAATAATATAGTCTTTTTTCTTTTATTTTCTTTAGAGACAGGGTCTCACTCTGTTGCCCACGCTGGAGTGCAGTAGCACAACCATGGCTCACTATAACCCTGAGTTCCTCGGCTCAAGTGAACTTCCCACCTCAGCTTTCCTGATTAATTTACTAGGACTACAGGTACACATCACCATACATGGCTAACTTTTTTTTTTTTTTGACACGGGATCTCACCATGTTCGCCAGGCTGGTCTCAAACTCCTGGCCTCAAGCAATCCTCCTATCTCAGCTGCCCAAAGCACCAGAATTACAGGCATGAGCCACCAGGCCTGGCCAGAAAATAGTTTCTTTAAATGAACACCTGCAGTTACAATGCACTCAATGACATTTTATGTAAGTTTTGTATTTTAAAACACCAGAGTTTATATTCCATGAAGCTCTATGCATGGAAAGTAGGAAGTAACAAGGAGTAAAGAATAGCAAATTTATATCTCTCATCCTAAGGTCACTCTGTAAATACACTCATTGAGAAATTGAGAAAAAGAGCAGAATAATCACATCATTTAAATCAACTTGTCTATCTCAGCTATATCTTATTGAGCCCACTTCTTTGAATTCATATAAATTACATGCAACTATGATGAAATTCCATTGTACCAATACGACCGTAAGAAGTTAGGGCTGATTTTTCACAGCCAACATTTCTTTCACAATTCACTTTCATCAAAAATTTTTAGTGCTCCAAATACAGTCATGCATTACTTAACAACTGGGATATGGCCTGAGAAACTTGCTGGTAGGCAGATATGGTTTGGCTGTGTTCCCACCCAAATCTCATCTTGAACTGTAGTTCCCATAATCCCAATGTGTTGTGGGAGGGATCCACTGGAAGGTAATTGAATCACAGGGCTGGTTATCTCCATGCTGTTCTGCTGATAGTGAGTGAGTTCTGATGAAATCTGATGGTTTTATAAGGGGCTTTTCCTCCTTTGCTTAGCACTTCTCTCTCCTGCTCCTATGTGAAGAAGGACATGTTTGCTTCCCCTTTCACCACGATTGTAGGTTTCCTAAGGTCTCCCCAGCCCTGCAGAACTGAGTCAATTAAACCTCTTTCCTTTATAAATTACCCAGTCTCGGGCAGTTCACAGCAGCATGAGAACAGAGAATGGACTAATACAGTACATTGGTACCACAGAGAGTGTGGTGCTGCTGTAAAGATACCCAAAAATGTAAAAACAGCTTTCCAACCAGGTAACAGGCAAGGCTGGAACAGTATGGAGGGCTCAAAAGAAGACAGAAAAACGTGAGAAAGTTTGGAACTTCCTAGAGACTTGTTGAATAGCTTTGACCAAAATGCTGACAGTGATATGGACAATAAAGTCCAGGCTGAGGTGGCCTCAGATGAAGACGAGGAACTTACTGGTAAGTGGAGTAAAGGTGACTCTTGCTATGCTTTACCAAAGAGAATGGTGGCATTTTGCCCCTGCCCTAGAGATCTAAGGAACTTTGAACTTGAAGGAGATGATTTGGGGGTATCTGGTGGAGGAAATTTCTAAGTGGCAAAGCATTGAAGAGAACGCGGAGAAGAAAAGTTTGCAAAATTTGCAGCCTGACAATACAATAGAAAAGAAAAACCCATTTTGTGGGGAGAAATTCAAGCCCACTGCAAAAGTTGGCATAAGTAACAAGGAGCCAGATGTTAATCACCAAGACAAAGGAGAAAATGTCTTCAGGGCATTTCAGAGACCTTTGCAGCAGCCCCTCCCATCATAGGCCCAGAGGCCTAGGAGGGAAAAACAGTTTTGTGGGCCAGGGCCAGGGCCCAAAAGCAGGGCCCCCCAACCCGGCTCTGTGCAGCCTTGGGACATGGTGCCCTGCATCCCAACTGCTTCAGTCCCAGCTGTGGCTAAAAGGGACCAATGTACAGCTCAGGCCATTGCTTCAGAGGGTGCAAGCCCCAAGCATTGGCAGCTTCCATGTGGTGTTGGTCCTGCTGGTGTGCAGAAGACAAGAATTAAGGTTTGGGAACCTCCACCTAGATTTCAGAGGATGTGTGGAAACACTTGGATGACCAGTCTGCTGCAGGGGCAGAGTCCTCATGGAGAACCTCTGCTAGGGCACTGCAGAAGGGAAATGTGGTGTTGTAGCCCCCACACAGAGTCCCCACTGGGGCACTGCCTAGTGGAGCTGTGAGAAGAGGGTCACTGTCCTCCAGACCCCAGAACGGTAATCTACTGACAGCTTGCACAGTGCACCTGGAAAAGCCACAGACACTCAACACCAGCCCATGAAAGTAGCTGGGAGGAGGGATGTACCCTACAAAGCCACAGGGGTGGTGCTGCTCAAGGCCATAGGAGCCCACCTCTTGCATCAGCATGATCTGGATGTCAGACACGGAGTTAAAGGAGATCATTTTGGAACTTTAAGGTTTAATGACTGCACTATTGGACTTTAGACTTGCATGGGGCCTACAGCTCCTTTGTTTTGGCCAATTTCTCCCATTTGGAATGGGTGTATTTACCCAATGCCTGTACCCCCATTGTATCTAGGAAGTAACTAACTTGCTTTTGACTTTACAGGCTCATAGTCAGAAGAGACTTGCCTTGTCTCAGATGAGACTTTGAACTTGGACTTTTGGGATATTGCTGAAATGAATTAAGACTTTAAGGGACTGTTGGAAAGGCATGATTGTGTTTTGAAATGTGAGGATATGAGATTTGGGAGGGGCCAGGAGCAGAATGATATAGTTTGTGTCCCCACCCAAATCTCATCTTGAATTGTAGCTCCCAAAATCCCCATGTCATGGGAGGGCCCTGGTGCGTAATTTAATTATGGGGGTGGTTACCACTATGTGATTCTTGTGATTGTCAGCGAGTTCTCACAAGACGGTTTTATAAGAAGCTTTTCCCCCTTTGCTCAGCACTTCTTCCTGTCACCATGTGAAGAAGGACATGTTTGCTTCCCCTTCCACCATGATTGTAAGTTTCCTGAGGACTCCCCAGCCCTGCGGAACTGTGAGTCAATTAAACCTCTTTCCTTTATAAATTACCCCGTCTGGGGCAGTTCTTTTCAGCAGTGTGAGAACTAATACAGGCAATTTCATCATTGTGTGAACATCACAGAGTGACTTACACAAACCTAGACAACATAGCCTACTACACACCTGGGCTATATGGTATAGCTTATTGCTCCTAGGCTACAAACCTGTGCATGTTTGTCTTATCGGACTACCATTGTGCTATCCATCATTGACTTCAACATTGCTACATGGCATGTGACTTATATTGACAAACACATAAAAATCACAAGCATAATCAAGAGCATGCTAAACCCCTAACTCAAATTATAATTCAAGGTAAACTTTCTAGAGCA